>NC_000023.11:34994266-35144623 GCF_000001405.40 Homo sapiens | reverse complement strand
ACATAAGGCTGAGAGATCCAGCAGCAGGCTACATTCCATGAGAAAACCCAGAGGATCCTCAATTTAGAGAAGTGATAAAAGACATATGTTAGTGCATGGGCATATCAAGGGATCATGCATGCATAACTAGTTAAATTGTGTGAGTTGTGTCAGATCCACCAAGCCATATGGCTAAGCAGGCCCAGCAGCATTCCACTATAAGATGGATGTGGTATTTGCAGGATCTGGCATGAGTAGAGATGAACACACAAGTGAACTGCCCCACAAGGAGATCTATCTTCCACTGTTTTATGAGCACCCCTGCCTCACTTCACACTGATGGCAGCACAGGGGAGGGCCCTTATGCCTAGCTATTACAAGAAAAATCAAGAAGAGTATACAGTTTGTACATGGGTTAGTTCAGTAGGAAAGACAAACCAACAAAAAAACTATGGTAGCACTGCAGCTTCACTCAATGGTGTCCCTAAATGTCATTAATTAGGAGAAATCCTCCACATAGGTAGTTCTTCAAAAGATGCAGCTGGTCGTCTATTTTTCGTGGAAAAAGAAGTGGCCTGAGGTAAGAATGTAGCATCTCATGGGCAGTGGCAAATGGATTTACAGTTGATCAGTGTCCTGTCCAGTCACTAAGATCAGTCACTGTCCAGTTGGAAGATCAGTAACAAAGAATCCTGGGGAAGAAGCATGTGGATGGACCTATTGGAATGGGAATAAAAGTTAAACATTTTTGTATCATAAATCAATGTTGATCTGAGACTATGTACCATGGAAGATACTAAACAACCAAGTATTCAGAATGATTTTGCTAGTTAGCAACTGCCAGCCTCTAACATCTGCTATCTCTAGCTGGCACAGTGAGCACACAAAGCAGCCAGCGTGGAGGAATAGAGGCTATGCATTGAACCAACTGCATGCAATCCAACACATCAGGCTGGCTTTGCCACTGCTTCTGCCAAATGACCAACCTTCCAGCAACAAAGACCAACACTAAGGCCCAGTATGGCACCATCCCTTGAAGAAACCAACCAACTCCATGGTGGCAAGGTGATTAGCAATTCACTGTTACTGGGTTCAACACATACTCCAAGTATGGGCTTTTCCTTCATACCTAAACAGCATCTGCTAAGAACACTAGGGAATACACAAAGATACAGGATATCTATATAGCTTCACATGTACCAAGGGACTAACCTTATAAAAAAAATAAAGCAATGAGCAAGTAACCATGAATTTTCCATAATATTGTATCACCAAGAAGTTTCCCATAGTGTATTAACTATGAATTTCCCACACTATATCACCCAGACGTTGCTGGTTTGATATAAAAATGGAACAAGCTTTTTAAAGTTCAACTGAACTATTGGCTTGAAAATAATAGCAGAGTGCCATTGCCACTGTATACAACCAAAATCAATAAACAAAGTGTGGTTCTGTGTACAAACAGGTAAAATTCATGGGTACAGAAACCACAGGGTAGAAGTAGGAATAGTCCTAATCATCACATCCAAGTGCACAACACTTGGAGTATCTGTGCTTCCCTTCACAATAATTGTAAAATCTTCAGGCTTAGATGTGTAGATTGCAGAGTGGAATGTTTCCAACAAGGAACATAGCAAGAGGTCTATTAAACTTTAAACTATGGCTGTTGCCCAGATATTTCAGGCTCTCTGTGCCAGGAAAGCAGCAGGTGAGGAAGAAGTCACTATTCCTGGCAAGGAAAATTGACCCTGATCATCATGAGGAAGTAAGGCTATGGTTGTACAAGTGAAGTAAAGAACAATTAATTTGGCTCCATGATGATCCGGTGGTGTCTTTTCATATTCTACACTTCAGTTCTGATGGTAAACGAGCAAGTATAGTAGCCATGTCCTGTGGAATATATTGAATGTCACACAGCAAAGTTAAGGGTACTATCAAGCCATTTAGACTACTGATGAATTTATTATTTTCTAGAATCAGTTATTCATTCTGTATGTTCAAACAGGTGGTTATGTAAGCAAATTGAGTGTCTGTATCCACCATGAGGGGTCAACTCACAATAACCTTCTGCTATCAATCTGAGGATCAACAAGAAAAAGTTACCACCCTCAAGTGGAGTAATTGAAAATAGTTTTTTGAAGAAACAGTTGCCAAAATTGTGAGCAGGGTTATGTTAATCCAACAAGGAGTGGTGGAGTACCTCCAGGCTATTTACAAATAGAAACCATTTCTGCATCTAAGCCTAAAGAACAAGGAAGTGGAGTGGTTTTCAGAACCTCAACAGACCTGTGGATGAACAGGATTCTTCTACTTCGAGCCTTGGCTTTAGAAAGAAAATGCAACACATGCCAACCTGGAACCTAGCAGAAAGGTGCTGCAGAAGTAAATTTGCACCCACTTTCTCTTCTTGCTCTCTGATCTCCTGCTGATACCACATATTGACCAAATTTAACCAAAATCCAAAGGGCAAAGAATTCAGGTAACACAGACCATAAAAGTCAGTCTCTCTGAAAAACTAGGGAATATTTAGCACATCGTGCCTGCAGAAATTGCTACAAAGACCAGAATACAAACTTCTTATTTCACAATCCAAAATAATTCTCCCAAAGGCTAGACTATTTAAAATTGAAATGACTAGGACACCCTCTCTCAGTACATAGGAAAAACATTATATCAGTTTACTTGGGGGCTATGAGGCCTTAATTATGAGAACATATCTTCTTTGCTTAAAATTTCCTTTCTTGCCATATGAATATGATTGGAATTGGATCCAGGAACTGGAACATTTTTCATCTGCAAAATGCTTGCGTGGGTGACACCAATGCATTTTTGCATGTGCAATCTTCCATTTCTATATTTTCTCCACTAAGTATACCTCTTTGCAATTGACTCCATTTTTCACTCATGTTGAGTGAAGTCTTAACAAACTGGAGACGTTCATCTCTCCAAGACCAAATTGAAGACATTTTTCTCTCCAACAATAAATTTCTCTTACTTTTTATAATTTAATTCATTTGTGTTCATTAACTTCATGGTTGGATTCTCAGAGAATCATTTTATTACCATAGTTCTAACATTACTAAATTAAGAAAAGTTTCATGTTTGCCTTCTTTTTTTGCTTAAGCAGAACAGATTTTATTTATTATTTATTGCTATTGTGTACAATGGAGTGTTAAATTAAAACACCACCCAGATGACACACACATCCTAATGACGTAGGGACTGACACAGTACAACTTCTCCTCTCAAAGACAGTCGGTATTCTGGGCCTCTGGGAAAGCATCTCTACCCCATTCAACTGAGGCTCTGAAACTAAGAACACGGGGGGTTAAACCTGGGAACCTGGCAACTAGAGGGCCAAGAAAAATCCTCACCTCCCAAAGACTTTGCTTATTCATTCCATGCTACCTTTTGTTCGGGGCACCTCCACATTTCTAGGTTCACCATAAGCCTAGGTACCAAGTCTATGCCAAAGATCTCATGTCCAGGCAAGTCCTAAGGAGCAGTCTCCCCTTTTATATCTTAAATCATAATATGCTATATAATTTTCAGAAAACAGTAGGAACTGATATCAAATGTATGACTGCGCTCTTGTCTGTAAGAAAGTCTTTGAACTAAAGAACAAATTAATTCTTCTTTTTTTTTTTAGTTTTTTTTTATTTTTATACTTTAAGTTCTAGGGTACGTGTGCACAACGTGTAGGTTTGTTACATGTGTATACATGTGCCATGTTGGTGTGCTGCACCCATTAACTCGTCATTTAACATTAGGTATATCTCCTAATGCTATCCCTCCCCCCTCCCCCCTCCCCCCCCACCCCACAACAGGCCCCGGTGTGTGATGTTCCCCTTCCTGTGTCCATGTGTTCTGATTGTTCAATTCCCATCTATGAGTGAGAACATGCGGTGTTTGGTTTTTTGTCCTTGCAATAGTTTGCTGAGAATGATGGTTTCCAGCTTCATCCATGTCCCTACAAACGACATGAACTCATCCGTTTTTATGGCTGCATAGTATTCCATGGTGTATATGTGCCACATTTTCTTAATCCAGTCTATCATTGATGGACATTTGGGTTGGTTCCAAGTCTTTGCTATTGTGAATAGTGCCGCAATAAACATACGTATGCATGTGTCTATAGCAGCATGATTTATAATCCTGGGTATATACCGAGTAATGGGATGGCTGGGTCAAATGGTATTTCTAGTTCTAGATCCTTGTGGAATCGCCACACTGTCTTCCACAATGGTTGAACTAGTTTACACTCCCACCAACAGTGTAAAAGTGTTCCTATTTCTCCACATCCTCTCCAGCACCTGTTGTTTTCTGAATTTTTAATGATCGCCATTCAAACTGGTGTGAGATGGTATCTCATTGTGGTTTTGATTTGCATTTCTCTGATGGCCAGTGATGATGAACATTTTTTCATGTGTCTGTTGGCTGCCTAAATGTCTTCCTTCGAGAAGTGTCTGTTCATATCCTTTGCCCACTTTTTGATGGGGTTGTTTGTTTTTTTCTTGTAAATTTGTTTGAGTTCTTTGTAGATTCTGGATATTAGCCCTTTGTCAGATGAGTAGATTGCAAAAATTTTTTCCCATTCTGTAGGTTGCCTGTTCACTTTGATGGTGGTTTCTTTTGCTGTGTAGAAGCTCTGTAGTTTAATTAGATCCCATTTGTCAATTTTGGCTTTTGTTGCCATTGCTTTTGATGTTTTAGACATGAAGTCCTTGCCCATGCCTATGTCCTGAATGGTATTGCCTAGGTTTTCTTCTAGGGTTTTTATGGTTTTAGGTCTAATATTTAAGTCTTTAATCCATCTTGAATTAATTTTTGTGTAAGGTGTAAGGAAAGGATCCAGTTTCAGCTTTCTACATATGGCTAGCCAGTTTTCCCAGCACCGTTTATTAAACAGGGAATCCTTTCCCCATTTCTTGTTTTTATCAGGTTTGTCAAAGATCAGATGGTTGTAGATGTCTGGTATTATTTCTGAGGGCTCTGTTCTGTTCCATTGATCTATATCTCTGTTTTGGTACCAGTACCATGCTGTTTTGGTTACTGTAGCCTTGTAGTGTAGTTTGAAGTCAGGCAGCATGATGCCTCCAGCTTTGTTCTTTTGGCTTAGGATTGACTTGGCGATGCGGGCTCTTTTTTGGTTCCATATGAACTTTAAAGTAGTTTTTTCCAATTCTGTGAAGAAAGTCATTGGTAGCTTGATGGGGATGGCATTGAATCTATAAATTACCTTGGGCAGTATGGCCATTTTCATGATATTGATTCTTCCTATCCATGAACATGGAATGTTCTTCCATTTGTTTGTGTCCTCTTTTATTTTGTTGAGCAGTGGTTTGTAGTTCTCCTTGAAGAGATCCTTCACGTCCCTTGTAAGTTGGATTCATAGGTATTTTATTCTCTTTGAAGCAATTGTGAATGGGAGTTCACTCATGATTTGGCTCTCTGTTTGTCTGTTATTGGTGTATAGGAATGCTTGTGATTTTTGCACATTGTTTTTGTATCCTGAGACTTTGTTGAAGTTGCTTATCAGCTTAAGGAGATTTTGGGCTGAGATGATGGGGTTTTCTAAATATACAATCATGTCATCTGCAAACAGGGACAATTTGACTTCCTCTTTTCCTAATTGAATACACTTTATTTCTTTCTTCTGCCTGATTGCCCTGGCCAGAACTTCCAACACTATGTTGAATAGGAGTGGTGAGAGAGGGCATGCATCCCTGTCTTGTGCCAGTTTTCAAAGGGAATGCTTCCAGTTTTTGCCCATTCAGTATGATATTGGCTGTGGGTTTGTCATAAATAGCTCTTATTATTTTGAGATATGTCCCATCAGTACCTAATTTATTGAGAGTTTTTAGCATGAAGAGCTGTGGAATTTTGTCAAAGGCCTTTTCTGCATCTATTGAGATAATCATGTGGTTTTTGTCTTTGGTTCTGTTTATGTGCTGGATTATGTTTATTGATTTGTGTATGTTGAACCAGCCTTGCATCCCAGGGATGAAGCCCACTTGATCATGGTGGATAAGCTTTTTGATGTGCTGCTGGATTCGGTTTGCCAGTGTTTTATTGAGGATTTTTGCATCGATGTTCATCAGGGATATTGGTCTAAAATTCTCTTTTTTTGTTGTGTCTCTGCCAGGCTTTGGTATCAGGATGATGCTGGCCTCATAAAATGAGTTAGGGAGGATTCCCTCTTTTTCTATTGATTGGAATAGTTTCATAAGGAATGGTACCAGCTCCTCCTTGTACCTCTGGTAGATCTAAAGTAGTCACCCTAACATCACAATTAAAAGAACTAGAGAAGCAAGAGTAAACACATTCAAAAGCTAGCAGAAGGCAAGAAATAATTAAGATCAGAGCAGAACTGAAGGAGATAGAGACACGAAAAACCCTTCAAAAAATCAATGAATCCAGAAGCTGGTTTTTTGAAAAGATCAACAAAATTGATAGACCACTAGCAAGACTAATAAAGAAGAAAAGAGAGAAGAATCAAATAGACACAATAAAAAATGATAAAGTGGTTATATCACCACTGATCCCACAAAAATACAAACTACCATCAGAGAATACTATAAACACCTCTACGGAAATAAACTAGAAAATCTAGAAGAAATGGATAAATTCCTGGACACATACACCCTCCCAAGACGTGTTTGCCTTCTATACTGTATACACTCACCTGGTGATATGAGACCTGACTAAAATATTATGCTGGTTTTCCAAGTTCTGTCACAAACTCGATGAGGAACTATGTTATTGCAGAACACTTTGTGTCAGACTCTAAATTTCTACACTTTTAAAGTCAGGCATCTAAAAACCTGAGTGTCTCAAATGAAAGGCCATTTTTCCCCATGATCATGTCCATTCTCCTCTAAACTCCATTATGGTGAAAGACCATGCAATCCAGTCACCAGTCTAAGTCCCTGGGTTATCACAGACATTTTCTTTTCATTTTTATTTTCCCCCATATAATTGGGTTCAAGTTCTGTTCTTATGCAATATTTCTCCACACTACCTTCCCTCATACAAAACGTGGGTCTTAAAGTCCACTCTGCCTTAAGAATTCTAGTTTTCTAGTACAGGAGATGACAGCCAAAATCACCAGTTTAGAGAAGAACATAACCAACTTGTTAGAGCTGAAATACACACAAGAGCTTCACAATGCAATCACAAGTATTAATAGCAGAATAGACCAAGCAGAGGAAAGAATCTCAGAGCTTGAAGACTATCTTTATGAAATAAGACAGGCAGACAAGAATAGAGAAAAAATTAAAAAGAATGAATGAAACCTCCAAAAAATATGGAATTATGTAAAAAGAACAAGCCTCTGAGTGATTGGGGTACCTGAAAGAGATGGGGAGAATGGAACCAAGTTGGAAAACATACTTCAGGATATCATCTAGGAGAACTTCCCCAACCTAGCAAGACAGGCCATATCACCTGATTTTAATCAGGTCTCACATCACCAGGCCAGTGTATATAGTATAGAAGGCAAACATGAAACTTTTCTTAGCCCAGTAATGTTAAAATTATGGTAATAAAATGATTCCCTGAGAATCCAACCATGAAGTAAAATTCAGGAAATGCGGAGAAGCCTGGTAAGATACTCCATGAGAAGAACAACTCCAAGATACATAATCATCAGATTCTCCAAGGTCAAAATGAAAGAAAAAATGTTGAGGGCAGCCAAAGAGAAAGGCCAGGTAACCTACAAAGGGAAGCCCATCAGACTAAGAGTGAACTTCTCAGCAGAAACCCTATAAGCCAGAAGAGATTGGGGGCCAATATTCAACATTCTTAAAGAAAAAAAAGTATTTCCAATCCAGAATTTTATATCTGGTCAAACTGAACTTCAAAAGCGAAGGAGAAACGAGATCCTTTTCAGACAAGCAAATGTTGAGGGAATTTGTCACCATTGGTCTCGCCTTGCAAGGGCTCCCAAAGAAAGCACTAACTATGGAAAGGAATAACCATTATCAGCCACTAAAAATACACACTGAATTACACAGACCAGTGACACTATGAAGCAACCACATAAACAACTCTGCAAAATAACCAGCTAGCAACATGATAACAGAATCAAATTCACACATAACCATACTAACTTTAAGTGTAAATGGGCCAAATGCCCCAATTAAAAGTCACAGAATGGCAAGCTGGTTTAAGAATCAAGACCCATGGGTATGCTGTCATTAAGAGACTCATCATACAGGCAAAGGCATACACAGGCTCAAAATAAAGGGATGGAGGAAAATTTACCAAGCAAATGGAAAAAAGAAAGAAGTAGGGTTACAATCCTAGTTTCTGATAAAATAGAGTTTAAACCAATAAAAATCAAAAAAGACAATGAAGGGCATTACATAATGGTAAATGGTTCTATTCAACAAGAAGAGCTAATCATCCTAAATACATATGCACCCAATACAGGAGCACCCAGATTCATAAAGCAAGTTCTTAGAGACCTTCAAAAGGACTTATACTCCCATACAACAATAGTGGGAAATTTTAACAATCTACTGACACTATGGGACAGGTCATCAAGATAGAATATTAAAAAAGACATCAGGACCTGAACTCAACTCTGGATCAGGTGGAACTGATAGATATCAACAGAACTCTCCACCCAAAAACAACATAATATACAATCTTCTCATTACCACATGGCACTTACTCTAAAATTAATTACATAATCGGAAGTAAAACACTCCTCAGCAAATGCAAAGGAACTGAAATAATAACAGTCTCTCAGATGACAGCACAATCAAATTAGAACTCAAGATTAAGAAATTCACTGAAAACCACACAACTACATGGAAATTGAACAACATGCTCCTGAATGACTCTTGGGTAAATAATGAGATTAAGGCAGAAATCAAGAAGTTCTTTGAAACTAATGAGAACAAAAATATAACATATGAGAATCTTTGGGATGCAGCTAAAGCAGTCTTAAAAAGGGAATTTATAGCACTAAATGCCCACATCAAAAAGTTAGAAAAATCTCAAGTTAACAACCTAACGTGACAACTAAAAGAACAAGAGAACCAAGTGCAAACAAACCCAAAAACTAGCAGAGGACGAGAAATAACTAAGATCAAAACTGATCTGAAGGAGATAGAGACATTAAAAACCCTTCAAAAAATCAACAAATCCAGGAGCTATTGTTTTGAAAAAATTAATAAAATAGATAGACTGCTAGATAGACTAATAAAAAAGAAAAGAGAGAAGATTCAAATAAACACAATCAGAAATGATGAGGGGGATATCACCAATGACCCCACAGAAATAGAAATAACTATCAGAGAATACTATAAACATCTCTATGCACATAAACTAGAAAATCTAGAAGAAATGGATAAATTCCTGGACACATACACCTTCCCAAGACTGAACAAAGAAAAAATTGAATCCCCGAATAGACCAATAATGAGTTCTAAAATTGAGGCAGTAATAAATAGCCTACCAACCAAAAAAAAAAAAAAGCCCAGAACCAGACAGATTCACACCTGAATTCTACCAGGGGTACAAAGAAGAACTGGTACCATTTCTACTGACACTATTCAAAACAAATGAAATGGAGAGCCTCTTCCCTAACTCATTCTGTAAGGCTAGCATCATCCTGATACCAAAACCTGGCAGAGATACAGCAAAAAACAAACAAACAAAAAAACAAAACAAAACACTTCAGGCCAATATCCATGATGAGCATCAGGGCAAAAATTCCGAACAAAATACTGGCAAACTGAATCCAGCAGGACTCTAAAAGCTTATCTACAATGATCAAGCACACTTCATCCCCAGAATGCAAAGTTGGTTCAACATATGCAAATCAATAAATGTGATTTATCACATAAACAGTGCTAAAGACAAAACCCATATGATTTTCTCAATAGATGCAGAAAAGGCCATCAATAAAATTCAACATCCCTTCATGTTTAAAACTATCAATAATCTAGGTATTGAAGGAACATACCTCAAAATAATAAGAACCATATATGAAAAACCCAGAGCCAATATTATACTGAATGGGCAAAAGCTGGAAGCATTCCCCTTGAAAATCGGCTCAAAACAAGGATGCCCTCTCTCACCACTTCTATTCAACATAGTATTGGAGGTTCTGTCCAGGGCAATAAGGCAAGAGAAAGAAATATAGGGTATTCAATAGGAAAAGAGGAAGTCAAACTATCTTTGTTGGCAGATAACATGAGGCTATAGCTAGAAAACCCCATTGACTCAGCCCAAAAGCTTCTTAAGCTAATAAGCAACTTCAGCAACATCTCGGGATACAAATTTGATGTGTGAAAATCACTAGTTTTCCTATACACCAACAAAAGGCAAGTAGAGAACCAATCATGAATGAGCTCCCATTCACAATTGCTGCAAAAAGAATAGAATACCTAGCAACACAGCTAACAAGGGAAGAACTACAAACCACTGTGCTCAAAGAAATCAGAGATGACACAAACAAATGGAGAAACATTCCATGCACATGTATAGGAAGAATCAATATCGTCAAAATGACTATACTACCAAAAGCAATTTATAGATTCAATGCTATTCCCATTAAATTACCATTGACATTCTTTACTGAATTAGGAAAAACTATGTTAAAATTCATATGGAACCAAAAATGTACCCAAATAGTCAAGACAATCCTAAGCAAAAAGAAAAAAGCTGGAGACATCACACTACCTAACTGCAAACTATACTACAAGGCTATTTGAGTCAAAACAGCACAGTACTGGCACAAAATCAGACACATAGACCATTAGAACAGAATAGAGAACTCAGAAATGAGGCTGCACATCCACAACTATCTGATCTTTGACAAACCTGACAAAAGCACGCAATGGAGAAAGGATTCCTTGTTTAATAAATGTTGCTGGGAGAACTGGCTAGCCATATGCAGAAAATTGAAACTGGACCCCTTCCCTACACCTATATAAAGGTCAACTCAAGATAGATTGAAAACTTAAATGTAAAACCCAAAACTATAAAAACCCTAGAAGGAAATCTAGGCAATACCATTTAGTACATAGGCACAGGCAAAGATTTCATGACAAAGTCACCAAAAGCAATAGCAATTGCAACAAAAGCAAAAGCTGACAAATGAAATCTACTTAAACTAAAGAGCCTCTGCACAGCAAAAGAAACTATCATCAGTAAACAGACAACCTACAGAACGAGAGAAAATTTTTGCAATCTATCCATCTAACAAAGGTCTAACATCCAGAGTCTACGAGGAACTTAAACAAATTTACAAGAAAACAACAAACAACCCCATCAAAAAGTGGGGAAAAGACATGAACAGACACTTCTCAAGAGAAGACCTATATCTGGCCAACAAACATATGAAAAAAAGCTCAACATCACTGACCATTAGAGAAATGCAAATCA
Source organism: Homo sapiens (assembly GCF_000001405.40). Classification (NCBI taxonomy): domain Eukaryota; kingdom Metazoa; phylum Chordata; class Mammalia; order Primates; family Hominidae; genus Homo; species Homo sapiens. The sequence goes on along the minus strand of NC_000023.11, from coordinate 35,133,244 downwards.
AAACCACAATGAGATACCATCTCACACCAGTCAGAATAACAATTATTGAAAAGTCAAAAATCAACAGACACTGGCGAGGTTGTGAAGAAAAATGAATGCTTTTACACCATTGGTGGTAGTGTAAATTAGTTCAACCATTGTGGAAGACAGTGTGGCAGTTCCTCGAAGACCTAGAAGAAGAAATAACATTTGTCCCAACAATCCCATTACTGGGTATATACCCAAAGGAATATAAATCATTGTATAATAAAGATACATGCACATGTATGTTCATTGCAGCACTATTCACAATAGCAAAGACATGGAATCAACCTAAATGCTCACCAATGGTAGACCAGATAAAGAAAATGTAGTATGTATGCTCCATGTAATACTATGCAACCATAAAAAGAAATGAGATCTTGTTTTTTCAGGGATATGGATGGAGCTGGAAGTCAGTAGCCTCAGCAAACTAACGCTGAAACAGAAAACCATATACCACATGTTCTCACCTATTAGCGGGAGCTGAATGATGAGAACACACAGACACACACACTGGGGCCTGTTGTAGGGTAGGGGATGGGAGGAGGGAGATCATCAGGAATAATACCTAATGGATGCTGGGCTTAATACCTAGGTGATGAGACGATCTATGCAGCAAAGCACCATGGCACACGTTTACCTATATAACAAACCTGCGCATCCTATACATGTATCCTTGAACTTAAAAGTTGGAAAAAAGAGAATTCTAGTTTTCTCTCTCTCACATGGAATGAGAATGAAGAAAAATAATGTGTCAAAAAGACTGACCTCAGAAATAAATATAATTATCTATAGCTGGACTTTATCCTGTCAGAAGAAACTATTTTCCTTACCATTCTTAAAGAGTGAAATAGCCTTTCCACCATTCTCATTCTCTCTCCAAGACTTTCATTTTCTTTTCTCTTAAGCTTTTACTATTGGAAATCCCTAGATAGATGTACTTGGAATCCAATATCCTCTTAAGAGCACTTAGAGCAATCTTACCTTTTTCTTGAACTATCTCTTTCCTGTAGGTTTCAGGGTCTTTCTGCTTGTCATTTTCCCCCAGTGTTCCTGGAAATGGAGATAATTGTTTATAATTCTTTATTTGAAAATTGTACATTTTAAATATAATGAAGTAACTCGACCTCACTTGGGGTTATAATTGCTAGGATTTTTTTTGTCTTATTTTGTTTTTTATTTTATTTTCTGTGTCTGTTCAGTACCTTTCCTACACTGATTTTGCAATATCTGTATTCCATGTAAAATACAGCTACTGAAATATCTGCTAATGATTGCTTAGAGATTTCCTGAAATATCTGAAACACTAAATCTTCCATCCTTTTTAAAGGGGCTCTGTGTGTATCAGTGCAAAGCTTCAACACTGACAATTTACAACCCTTCATGTGGTTCCTAGATCTTCAAAAATAGAACTTTTCAAAGCTTCCTATGAACATGTAATTCCTCAGATCTTCCTTTTAAGATTTTGTTAAGCCTCTTTTTCACCCCAGCTGGTATCAGCCTCTTAGGCAGCAACAGTGTTAACCAATGGCCATTGATTGTTTTTGATACATGCTTTTTCCACTAAGTGAATCCTGAGATGGGTCAAATTGCAAGAAACTCTGTAAATGAAGCTTTCCCAGGAAGCTGCCAGATGGGTAAAATAGTTACAATTCTTTGAGGAATAGGCTTTCCGAAGAACTTCAAACCTTTTTTTTTTTTTTTTTTTTTTTTTTTTGAGATGGAGTTTCGCTCTTGTTGCAATGGCGTGATCTCGGCTCACCACAACCTCTGCCTCCTGGGTTCAAGTGATTCTCCTGCCTCAGCCTCCCGAGTAGCTGGGATTACAGGCATGCACCACCACATCCCGCTAATATTGTGTTTTTAGTACATATGGGGTTTTTCCATGTTGGTTAGGCTGGTCTCGAACTCCTGACCTCAGAAGATCCACCTGCCTCGGCCTCCCAAAGTGCTGGGATTACAGGCATGAGCCACCATGCCTGTCCTCCAAACCTTTTTGATTCCTTCAAGTGGCTGCCAAGCTGCTGTATTTCACAGCTACCAAGCTTGTGAGTCTGCTGATTGTTAATGCTGCCTCGGATATGTGGAAAGAAGACTGGGGATGGGGAAAGTTCAATTACCACAAAGCCCACTGTTCTTTCCAAGTTTCAGTTTTTTCACCTAAATTACTGTTCCTCTAATTGTTGTAAGACATTGTTTAATTGCCAAGGTTGTAAAAAGGTGTATTTTGATAATTTTGTCCAATATTCTTTTTTAATGGGTTTTTTGGTCTTGGTTCATCATTTCAGAATTCCTACTCCTCACCTTCCCTTTGGATCGCCAGCTGAACCAAAGTTACATGACTTTTCAAAGCATCTATAGTACCTACTGTATTCTTCTCATCAGAACTCATCAGCATGTATTATTAATATAGTGAGTTAATGTAACATTCTATAAATTTTTTGAGAAAATTAAAGTTGCTGTTGATTAGCTTAGAGAATAAGAGAGTTAACATAAACTTGAAGTGAGTTGATGTGGTACTGCTGCTCATACCAAGCAAAACCATGCCATTCTTCTGTGCTCTTCCTTTTGACAAAGAGAAAACAAGATTTTTCTATATTAATGCTGTACACTCAGCCTGTGTTGACTTGCTCAAGCAAAGAAAGCCTATTTCCAACAGTAATTTGTTTTGCCATAATTTATCATTATTCTTTATAAAAGTGTTTATCTTATGTTTAGTCAAAACAGGTCATGATAATCAAGATGTGACAGAAATAACTACCCTCTACAAAATGAATTAGCTCTTGCCAACTTAAGTGAAAATGGCTCATTAAAGGATATTGCATAGCTTAGAGAGCCTTGTGAAGCCTAGAGAATGTGTGTAGAGGCTAGAACATTAAACTGGGAAAGACAATGATCTTAACTGAGAAAGTTCCAATGCAGCTACAAGAGCACCTGCCACCGGCAATAAAGACTATGAACTTAATTTTATGGCTACTACTACATTTTACAGCGCCAATGTTATTTCTGTGACAGAAGTCATCTCTGCTTTCACTGAAAGCTCTTCTGCAAACAAAGTGAGATAGAATGGAAGCTCCATACTGGTCCTATTTCCTCACCCTGCTCAGTTTTGAATCAAATTCATCCACGTAGTGCTTCTATCCATGGAAGTAACTGACTAAATGTACAAAAGAAAACTGAAAGCTAAACCTGCAAGAGGGAAGCTACCATGAAACAAAATGATTCAACCAACAAAACTCTGGAAAGCCTCAGTAGTAGGAGACAAAATTTGAAATCTGTTCTCACCAGGTGAATTTAAAATAAGATAATTGGTTCTATGTTTTTAAAAGGAGCAATTTCACCTTAAATATTTAAAATAAAAAACAAATTCAAACTCATTAAAATATTTTATTCAGAAGGATTATTGCAGAGGGACTATAGCAATAGAGGAACTTGCAAACACAAAGACAGAATAAAGTCATTTTAGAATGTTAATGGTCACTCTCTAATGGATAAGAAATTTTGGGAGAGAGTGTTCCACCAAAGATAGAAAGTAAATCGATGAAAGAGGAAAACATGAATGTAAAAAATAAGAATACAACACAGGTGAGTTGTTAATGAAATTCTGAGGCTGACGCTGAAGGGAAATTCCAAAAGGCAGCTGTGAGTAATCAGAGACAATAATTAGTCCTGATTGGATAAGATTAATGGAATATTTAAGGAGAGAAAGATGTAAGGAAAAGGTGAATGGAATGCTACACAGCCATTAAAAAAGAACAAAATTATGTCCTTTGCAGCAACGTGGATGCAGCTGGAGGCCATTATCCTGAGCGAATTAGCACAGAAACAGAAAACCAAATACTGCATGTTCTCACTTATAAGTGGGAGCTAAACATTGAGTCCACATGGATACAAAGAAGGGAACAAGAGACACCAAGGCCTACTAGAGGATGGAGGGTGGGAGGTGGGTTAAATTTGAAAAACTACCTCTCAGGCACTATACTAATTACCTGGGTGATGAAACAATCTGTACAGCAAACCGCTTCAACATCCAATTTACCGATTTAACAAATCTGCACATGTACCCCTTGAACCTAAAATAAAAGTTGAAAGGAAAAAAAAAAAGAAAACTCTGACAAGTAGTCAGGGAATACCATAAGGATAGAGTTTTCATGCTTGTATGTCTGATAACAAAAACTATCACAAAAGACCGCAAAAAAACACAACCTTTCACAAAGACCATTGCAATCTTAGACATAAAAAAATTTCTGCAGGATGTCTGCCAAGCAATTGGCTGTCCAACCTCAGACTCACATTATTCTTGTTATTGATCTTTGTAGCCAAAGATAACTATTTCAAAACAATTATGTAATCTTTTTTATTATTTAATAAATTTTGTCTTCCTTTAAAAAAAGGAAAAAGATGGAACTGATAGGATACCTGATGCGTTTTATCAGTGGTCTTGAGTTCTATTGAAAAGACTGGAAATGAGTTAGTGGAGAAACATTTAAGTAAACTTGCTGCTCTGTTTTAATGAAGTGGATCTTATAATCAAGTTCTACACTAAGTGCTTTGGGATTTATAGGGGAAAACAACTCTTCCCAGGTAACCCTTTGCAAAGAAGAAATAGCCATTAATTAATTCACTTATTCAACAAATGCTAGTTAGAGCCTACTATGTATCAGGCATTGATTTAGGTGCTAGGGACACAGCAAGGAATAAAACAGACAAAAATCCATGTCCTTATAGAGCTGTCAGTCTAGTGAGGAAGAAGAGAGAAAATTAACAAAATGAATCGACAAAGTCACAATAGATGGTGGTAAATGATAAGGAAAATAAAACATCCTTTAGGGTTAGGGAGTGCCAAAAGGGTGGAGTAGAGGAAAAAAGGGTGAGCTTTTTTGTTTTTGTTTGTGTTTTGAGACGAAGTCTTGCTCTTGTTGCCTAGGCTGAAGTGCAATGGCACGATCTTGGCTCACTGCAACCTCCGCCTCCCTACTCCAAGCATTTCTCCTGCCTCAGCCTCCTGAGTAGCTGGGATTATAGGCGCCTGCCACCATGCCTGGCTAATTTTTGTATTTTTAGTAGAGACGGGGTTTCACTATGTTGGCCAGGCTGGTCTTGAACTCCTGACCTCAGGCTATCTGCCCACCTTGGCCTCCCAAAGTGCTGGGATTACAGGCATGAGCCACCGTGCCCTGCCAGGGTGAGTCTTAATAGGACTGCCATCAATGGATAAGGGGTCCTGTAAGGCTGAGAAGGGGACTCATTGTTTCAGATGAAGAGCTGGCCCATTGCAAAAATATCAGTTATGTTGTCCCATGGATGACTCAAACCACCTGTTCTGAGAAAGTCTGATTGTGTGATTGTGTGGTGGTCTTTTCATCCCGTAGCTGATTGGTAAACATCAACTGCAGACATTTATTTGATTGTTTCTTAGGAACAAGTCTTTTGGGCAGTTCTCAAACCATGGAATTAGCTTGAATAATTTTGGTTGATGCATTATTTTGAATTACATCATAGTTTGCTATCGAGATTTTCCAAATGGACATTGTAGTCCACAGCTATGAATTTAAAATTCTAACTCTGTCGCTTATTCTCAATGATTTCAGGCAAGTGTACTAGACTTGGTTCCCCAGGTTGCAAAATCTGACATGGGGTTTAGCAGGCTGGATATTTAGTGAAGAGTTCCCTGGGGATAAACACCAGGGGAAGGAAAAGGAAAGAAGGATTGGATAGAAGGAAAAGTCAAGCTTCAGTACAGCCTCAGAGGAAATCCCAACCATTCCCACAGGGAGTTCAGAAGCAGGCACTACCCTTCACAATTGTCCTACTTGGGCCAAGACAGACATATTTTTGTTCTATTTCTTTCATGTATTTCAATGGATATTTATCCAGCACAGAAAAATCCAATTTTGATGACATAGATGTACAACTTATTGGCATGGATAGAATTATTGTGATGCATTCGGAAGAACCCAAACATAGCAAAAATAAGGAAATAACCTTTTACAGAAGAGATTTCTCAACTGGGAGTTTTATGGCAGGATGAAATACGTCACCATGGCTAGCATTTAAAGGCTTCCCTAAGTGCATTTAGATATTTTAAACTATTTTTAGACTTCATTGTCTCCCTGACAATGGTTTTCTATTTTGAGGTCATCAGAATATTGAAAACCATCCTGTACAACAGTTGAATTCTTAACGACAGCTTGTAAGATACCTATTTCCAAACAAGGCTTTGCAATCAACATTCAGTTTAAAAATCTGGGTTTTTTTTTTAAATGGAAGACATGTTGTAACTACTGTTAATCATTCAATACATCAAATTTTTTAAACCAAATAATGTTTTTTTATTTTTCTTCCATGATTCTTGAAATCAAATAAGACCAATATTTGAAAGAAAACATATCTAACCTGCAATTACTGTTCTTGCAGATATACAGAAATTTCACACTTCATGCATATGAATTGACATAAGTTAATCCATATACTGACAAATATTAACTGCTCAACTTCCATATATTCTACTTCTGAGCATTATAATAAGATCCACGTTAAATATAAGATATGGCCTCTGTCCTTATATTGCTTAATTATTCAAGACCCAAAGATTCTGATAAAGCATGAAGTCCTAAAACAGTATATAATGTATGTCAGTTAAGGCTTTTTGCTCCAAACTAAAACTAACTGTGGCTTACTTAAGCAGGAGGGAAAATATAGCTCGCAGAAGTGAAAGGATGCCTAGAGAACCACTCTAAGAAAATGAAAATACAAGGATGCTTGTATAAAAACAAAATGATACAAGCTTTCTTCACTTCTGCTAAACCCAGCCCCTTGTGCCAGATGCTTACATAGTTGCACGTGTAACTTCCTTTCCTTCACCTTTGTCACACTCTCTCAAATTCAGATTCCTCAAGTGAAGCGTTAGACTGTTGTGAATTGGTTGCCAGGGACAAGGAGAGGGAGATTCTCCTTCTATCATCTTTTTAGTGGAAGATTGGGCCCTGTCTTTCACAAAGATTCCTGTTCGGGACAATTACTTCAAACTAAAGAGGGGAATTGGGTGCTGGAAAGTCAAATGTGACAAATGTTCATTACAATCTGAGTGTTTTGGAGTTTGCTGGAGTCCAGTGGACAAAGATTAATGAGCATGGAGTAGTCAGGAAAGGACTTACTAGAGAAGGAATGAAATCAGTTGCATTGACCCAGTGCTAGATAGACACTGGGGTCAATGAAATAAGGCAAGGCAGGGGAGAAATAAACCTTGACCGTCCTATATGTATCAGAAGCCATGATTCCTGCATTTTAAGGACAAACGAGCTTCTACAACTCTCTGAGCTTCTTTAATCCTTCTACTTTTACCACTCTGAGTAGATGTATGCCCTAAAATCTTGAAGGGTTGTTCCTCTGCAGTCTGATCATAAAATCCATGGTGTTTGAGAAACAGAGGGGACCATGGAAATCACCTGGTCTGAAAGATGCTCCTTGTTCTACAAAGGACAGATCTGAGGCTTAGAGAAGGGAGAGTTGCTTACACAAGACCGATCGGTCAGTAGCAGAGTCAGAATCAGGGTCTAGAAACCTAGCTCCAAGGCTGGTGCTCAGTCCACTAAATTTGTTAGGTTGGTCATGACCTTACTAAGTAAATAGCCACTGCTTTGTTCACATCCTCACTTGGACTGTTACCTTGGCCTCCTATACTGTCTATCCCCACCCCTGCCCCCACTCCAGCTTTCTAATGACATCAGATTTATCTTTCAAAATGAAAGAACTGGCATCCTTTAACCAGCCACAATTTCCCAAACAGATGAAGTTCAGACTCTTTAGCCTGAATTTTTAGGCTCTGGCTGCCCTTTGGCCACATCACCTGCAATCCCTCACCTTTAACTCAGAGTCAAGTGCCTGGCAAACTTCCTGCATTTGTAGTTGCATATGCTTTATTCTCGAACTGGAATTCCTTTTATCCCTTTCTTTCCTGTGAACTCCTTCACATTTCAAAAATCAAGTCAAATATAATTCTACCAAAAAAGATGCTGCTGAGTATCTCAGAAAAGTGTTGACATGGCCCTAGCTGTGGTTTCATAGTGTCCACATACACACAACCATTACAGCTCCTATTGAGTGTATTTGTTTAAAGATTTCTCTCCTTGTCTATTTGGAAATGTCCTGACAGCACATATTGTATCCTCATGCCCTGGTCAGCTTTGGAAAATACCAGGCATTCAGTGAATAAGTCTGAATAAGTAATGAGATAAATTCACCTTGTATAACTTCCAAGAACTTCTACTATGGGTCTAGGGAACAAGGGCTTGGGAAACACCTTATGTGCTTTGACCTACATTTCCCCTGCACTGATTTAAGAACATTTACACTTTGGAGTTCTAATCCAACTGTAACATCTTTAGCTTTCTGCAATGAAAGAATAAGCATTTCCACAAATATAACATTATTATCATTATCATTTTCGTTTTTAGCATGGACTCAGTTGTGTACATTCTTATTAAAAGATGAGTCCTGAAATTAAATTAATACAGTAACCCATTAAGATTCTGAGTCATGCCATGAGAAGGGTGTCTAATACAAAACCTGTACTCCTTGAAACTAACTAGTATAATACTTTTTAAAATAAATTCTAGAGGCTTGGGCCTCAGATAAAATTTTATCTTACTGTTTTAAGTTTTAAGCCAAGTTTTATATGATGCATCTTCGTTAGAGTCCCCAATAAGAACCATAGTATTCCATCTTCTCTCTCTTTCTCTACTTCATGATCCTTACTTAAAGAAGTAGGAAATAAGATATAATGAAAAAATTGAGAGAAAGAGCAAAAAGTAATGGGAAATTACGCTGGCAAAGTGAGCACTGTGGAAAATTCAGTGCCTTATCTAGTTATGAAGATTTCAGGTGTCCACAGATTTGGCAAATAGAGATTTTATAGAAGGAGTACCCAGGTTCATGAAGAGTAAAAATAAATTCTTGTTTTTTAATTCCAATAATAAATGGCACTTGTATGTCTCCTCATCAGAATATGGGAGTATAAAATAACTGAGACCAGTTACAACACAAAATACCACAATGGCATGAAAACCACATCAGCAGGTTTGTGAGAGCTCTTTTTTAACTTTTATTTTAAGTTCAGAGGTACATGTGCAGGTTTGTTACACAGGTAAACTTGTGTCATGGGAGCTTGTTGTATAGATTATTTCACCACACAGGTATTAACCCAGATATGATTAATACCACATGGATGTGAGTGTGAGTGAGCCAAGGCATACAGAAACACAATCAGGTTTTAAGTCTAGTACCCATTAGTTATTTTTGTGGATTCTCTCCCTCCTTCCACCCTCCACCCTCCAATAGGCCCCAGTGTGTGTTGTTCCCCTCTGTATGTCCATGTGTTCTCATCATTTAGCTCCCACTTACAAATGACAACATGTGGTGTTTGGTTTTCTGTTCTGGCATCAGTTTGCTAAGGATGATGTCCTCCAGCTCCATCCATGTCCCTGAAAAGGACATGATCTCGTTCTTTTTGTGGGACACTGTGCCTCCCTGCCACCTTTCCATGGAATGCATATGATTAGAAAATGGCATTTCAGCACTGTTCTCCAACAAATATTAAGTATCAAATGCTTCCCAATGCTGGCAGTAAGTGGGCAGCATTGATTTTTTCCCCTGACTCCACTGGCATCCTGCTAATAAAGCCTCCCTCTATGGACTTTTATGTATATGCTAATGTGCATCATGGGAATAATGTATCATATCAGAGGCCCTAGAACCACAAGAGTAGTTTGTGGATAAAGAACATATGCTCTTAGAATGACAGGCCACATTAAAACATCTGACATGAAAGTATTATGCCTGTCACAGATTTCTGTCTTTTCAAAGTGAGTTTGCATTTTTGAAGGGTCTGCATAATGTCAGACATATGTCCACTGTAGTAATATAAAATACTGCAACAAAAGAACCTTAAAAGTATAGTCCACAACAAGGTTTTTCCATTGTAAACTATTATTTAAAGCACTGATTATCCAACTTGTCTTTATATTGGAACTACTTGAGGAGCTTATGAAACTATGTCTGACTGGACCCCTTCACCAGAGATTTTGATTTAATGGTGGTCTGTGGCCTTACCATTGAGATTTTTACCCACTTTCCAAGTGAATCTAATGGACAGCCAAGGTTGATTGCTACTGGTATAAAGGATGTGTGCTGTAGTTCAAGTTCAGAAAAGGCATTTTATTCTTTCCATTAGTCACTGATGATGGTTATGTTTGTGTATGCCTTGGCTCACTCACACCACTCACGACCCTGTGGTCAATAGGCTTGCCCAGCTTCTAGTAGTGACTGTGTGTGTGTTGTGGAGGTACACCACCAGAATTTGTGAAGGAGATGATAATGTATTTTGCTTTTCTCATGCTTAACTTGTTGATAGTTTTCTGGAAACTGAAAATGAACATAAGATTTTTCAAAATATGTTGATCATCTTTTTAGAATATGAATTGATATAAAAGCTGAAATTGATTGTCAAATTGAACACTGAGGAGGATCAATATTTAAAATAAATAATTATTTAAAAAATAATTTGAAGTAGCATCAAGTTTTTAGTTTCAGGTGGCTTACTCCCTGGAATCCATATTTTGAGTGTTGAGCAGACCACAGGATAAAAGCTGGCCTAGAAGGGTAAAGGGAACTTCCTACTTATTTACAATGCTGGCTGGCCTGCTTTTTCCAGAATTGAAATACAGGCCCATCCAAATGAAGCCATAAGTGGGTCACTACTGAATAAGATTATTGTTCTAAAACCAAATAGATTGGGGTAAGATGGATGTGGTGAAGAAATGTAACAGTCTTACAACATACCTTATAGAGTACTACACACAGAGACATCCCATACTGCCTATATGAAGGATGAGAGAGGAGGGATAAGGTCCTCCAGGGATACTCCTTAGACATCCTTAAGCCTATACAGTAGGCCCTCCATATCTGTGGGCTCCATATCTGTGGATTCAAGAAACCACAGATTAAAATACAAAAAAAAATAAAATGTATTTACTGAACATGTACAGACTTATTTCCTTGTCATTATTCCCTAAACAATACAGTATAACAGCTATTTACATAGCATTTATATTGTATTGGATAACATAAGTAGAGTTACATGCCACATAATGATGTTTTGGTCAACAACAGTCTATAGGACAGTAGTCCTAGAAGATTAGAATGGAGCTGAAAATTTTCTATTGCGTAGTGATGTTGTAGCCCTCAAAACATCATAGCACAATGCATTATTCACGTGTTTGTGGTGACATTGGTGTAAACAAATCAGTCGTACAGAAATACAACACATGCAATTATATACAGCACATAATACTTGATAATAAACGACTATGTTACTGGTTTATACATTTACTATACTATACCATTTATCATTATTTCTACTTATTAAAAAAAAGAGTTAACTGTAAAACAGACTCAGGCGGGCCCTTCAGGAGGTATTCCAGAAGAAGGTGTTATTATCACAGGAGATGACAGCTCCATGCATGTTATTGCCCCTGAGGACCTTCCAGTGGGACAAGATGTCGGGGTGAAAGACAGTGATCCTGATGATCCTGACCCTGTGAAAACCTAGGATAATGTGTGTGCCTATGTCTCAGTTTTAAAAAAATGTAAAAAATTAAAAATAAAAAAGCTCATAGAATAAGAATATAAAGAAAGAACATACAGTAGTTTGATTTTTAATTTTTTGAGGAATTTTTATACTGTTCTCCATCTTGGTTGTACAAAAAAAAATTGAACTCATAGAGAGTAGGATGATGTTTATCAAAGGCTGGGAAGGTAGTGGGGATGGGGTGATAAAGAGAGGATGATAGATGGGTATAAAATAACAGTTAGATAGAATGAAGAAGACCTAGTATTTGGCAGCACAATAGGGTGACTACAGTTAACAATAATTTGTTGTATTTTTTAAAATAAGTAAAAGTGGTATTTGAATGCTTCTAACACAAAAAAAATGATAAATTTATTTGGGAGGATGAAGCGGGCAGATCACAAGGTCAGGAAATAGAAACCATCCTGGCTAACACGGTGAAACTCTGTCTCTACTAACGATACAAAAAATTAGCCAGGTGTGGTGGCACGCACCTGTAATCCCAGCTACTTGGGAGGCTGAGGCAGGAGAATGGCGTGAACCCAGGAGGCGGAGCTTGCAGTGAGCTGAGATCACTCCAATGCACTCCAGCCTGGGTGACAGAGCTACTCTGTCTCGAAAAAAAAAAAAAAAAAAAGCTAAACCCTTAAGGTGATTGATATCACAATTACCCTCATTTGATCACAACATATTGTATGCCTGTTTCAAAACATCACATATAATCCATAAATGTATACAACTATTATGTTCCTATAATAATTAAAATAAAAAATTTTAAAGAGAAAGAAAATATTTTCATACAGCTGTAAAATGTTTTTGTGTTTTAAGCTGTGTTATTACAAGAGTCAAAAAGTTAAAAAAAAGAAGTTTTTGAAGTAAAAACTTATAGTAAGCTAAGGTTAACTTATTATTAAAGAAGAATACCTTAAAAAGTATTTTTGTGTAAAACTAATTCAGTGTAGCCCATGTGGACAGTGCTGATAAAGTCTACAGTAGTGTACAGTATTGTCCTAGGCCTTCACATTCACTCACCACTCACTCATTAACTCATGCAGAGCAACTTCCAGTTCCACAAGCTCCATTCATGTTAAGTGGCCTATACAAGTGTGCCATTTTTTGTTATTCATACCATATGTTTACAGTACCTTTTCTGTTTACAGGTGTTTAGATACACAGATACTTACCATTGTATTAGGATACCCTATAGTTTTGTACAGTCACATGCTGCTCAGTTTGTATGATGTTCACACAATGATGAAATCGCCTAACAACGCATCCTCAAAAAGTACTCTCGTCACAAAGTGATGCATGTCTACAATCTAGAAATTATTTAAAGTATATGGGAGGATGTTTGTAGGTTATTCTACACCATTTTATACAAGGGACTTGAGCATTGGTGGATTTTGGTATCTGCAGGGGGTCATGGAACCAGTCCTCCAAGCATTCCAAGGGATGACTGTACATGCTCCTTCTTGTTGCTCCTAAACTGCTAATTCAATCACCTTTCCCCACTTTTATCTCATTCAGCAACTGGTTTTCTTTGCTTTCATTTGTTCTGATGCTTCAGGCCATTAACTTTGCATAAGGCAAGCAACTTGACACCTTAAGACTTGCAAATGTGAAACTTTGGTTATGATGCAAGTAAATTGTTTTGGATCTGCCCAGTTATACTGCTGGTTCTGCCCAGAAAGGTGTGGTGAGGGGTTTGCTTTGGTTCCAATAATGGGATTGAGAATAGTTTAAGGTTTCCACTCTGCTTCTCTTTCCCTGCAATGTCTGAAATTATTCACATCACATCTTGTGGGAGACAATTTTCTTTAAAATATTCCCAACTTGACCACAAAAGACATTTCTCTTCATCTACCTTGACTTTGGCTTTATTTCTAACTAAATATTATCTTCTTTTATTAAGATATTTTTCCCCTTTCCCTGCCCTGATGATGTTATAAGCTTCTTGTATTAGCTATTAATGAAAGACACCATGCCCCATTGCTTCACTCTGATTGCTAAATCCAATCTGTCTAAGAGGCAGAGAAACTTCAGTTCACCCCACCACACTACATCATCAGCACACCCAAGTATTTCTTACCTCTGATGTTTATTTCAAGGTGCAGAGTTCAGGCAGAAAATGACAGATGATAATAAAGCATAACTTATTATTACTCGGAACAAATACTTTCTACTCAATGAATCTAAGTACAAAAGGACAAAGACTCAACAGCAATTTTAACAGGAGTGATGGGTCCCACAACTACCATACTACCTGTGCTTTTATAGCTAATAAAGGTGGCAAATCTCTCTTGGTTCCATTTTGTAGGAAATAAAAAGTTAATAATTATTTTCATCTTCATACACAATAGTTTTGTTATTGTGTATTATCGCTTAGCACAGAACCTGTGCACAGTAGGTATTCAAGAAATACTTGTTGAATATATGAGAATCCATATATTTTGTAGGATCATTATGACTTTAGTTTTGTTCACAGTCTTGAAATAACTACATTCTATGAATGAAACCACAGAGCATGTTGAAAAGTTGAAGACATACGTGACTCTTCATTTGACTACATCACAGAATGAGTTGCTTAAAATCTTACATGTGTATAACAGGTGAAAATTGGAGAAAACACTGTATAAACTTAAACTGTTCAAAGCCAGAGACAGGAATAATCTTTCCATAAATGAAAAATGTATGGGGAAAACTCATTCACTTACTTATAAGAAGTCAGTTGTAACTTTTTAACTTATATTACATGCAATATATACTAAAGCCCGCAATATGGAAAAAAGAAATGGATGTAAGACTGTTACTGATCTTTGGGGATTAATAGATCATGAAAAGAACAGAAGAGTGAAGTGCATACCAAGTTATCTACATTTACATGATATTGACCAAGAAGTCTGAATTTGAATTTAATCATAAGGAGGAGGTAGGCTAGATTAAGAGTGTACCCTTTTCGTAATAACTCAGAGAACATATAGTTATTTATTCAACATCTGTTACTACAACACTTGCTTTATATTTTATTTGTAACACGTAGCAAGATACAATCATTTTTGGAAATTTCTTCAAATTTATCCCTGTTGAGATTAAGGAAATTGCCAAAAAAATTCTGATTTGTGATTGCTGCAAGTAATTGTATCAACATAACCACAACCCCAAACCGATACGTATTTTAGGCTTAAATATTAGTAAAATTATTAAGGATGCCCTGACACAGATCGTTTGCCATTAAAATTGCTAGTTTTTCATTACATGTTATTCTCTAGGAGTTAGTTCCAATAAATAACAATGGGTCTCAAAGTCGGTCACATTTATATTTGTCCAGCCCCAGTTGAAGACTTATGTCATACAAAATAATTTTCTGAAAATAATTCTTAATTTATCTTTTTTATTCAATGACATCACAAGAAGTGTTTTTCCTTTGACTTTGAAGTTCCAGGGTACATGTGCAGGATGTGCAGGATTGTCACATAGTTAAATGTGTCCCAAGGTGGTTTGCTGCACAGATCAACCTGTCACCTAGATATTAGGCCCAGCATCCATTAGCTATTCTTCCCGATGTTCTCCCTACCCCTGCACACCCAACAAACCCCAGTGTGTGTTGTTCACCCTCATGTGTGACAAGATGCTAATTCAGTCACCTTAGGTGACACAAGAATTAAATCTTCCTTAGGAACCATAAATCTAGATAAGATGGTTCCTGCCACATTAATTTTGGGGTGTTAGAGAGAAGTAAGCTGCAGGAAACATATGCAGAAAGGAGTATGTTTGGGACCTTGTCATGCCCAGTGTGATGTTACCTAAGTGTGTCAATCATAAAGGGAAAGATGAAGCATACATGAAGTAAAGTTCATTCCTACTTAGGAAATTTGAGAGCATACACAGCAGGAAAAACAGTAAGATGAATAAATAATAAAATGTAAAACAGTTTATTAGGAAAGAAAAGGAAAAAGAAAAATAGAGCTAGGAGTGAGCTAGGAAGAGATAAAATTGTTCATCTGTTCTTTGAAATACTGCTCTGTGTCAATTTATGTATTAGGTGTTCAGGAAAGCTAAAGGCATGGTCACTATTCACAAATTGTTGGGTTAACCTTTTATATGGGCTCCTGCGTAGGCTATCTCTTAAAAGCTAGGCTGGGATAAGTATTAGAGTCATAAGATGTGTTTCTTTCAAGACACAAAGTGCTTATTGGTCACTGTGTGTGCATTTCTTTAAAGGTGACTTAACAACAGTATTCCCATTAGTGACATCCCTTCTGGAGTTAGTAGGCTCCTTTTTTCTTGTAATTGCAGCTATTTATCTTCTATAGCCCCTGAAGACTCCTCAGGTAAGAAAACAGTGGAAATTATCTTTCTCTACTACACTGTAGCATCCAAGAAGAACTCCCCTGATACAATCCTGAGACAGCCTTGCAAAAGGAATCTTTTTAGTTAGAAAAATATATATATCAGATAAGAAGATATGCCATATACACTCAAGGATATAGTGTTCAAATTTTTCTAAAAGGTTTGGTCCTTTTAAGGTCCCACTATTTCTTACATTAATACAATAGTCCCCCTTTATTTGGGGTGTTACCTATGAAGCCCCTCAGTTGATGCCTGAAACTATGTATAGTACCAAACCCAACTGTCATATATAAGATCACATTTCTGTTTGTGTCTTCCACCCATAAATGTAATGCCTTTTTCATCTTAACTAAGTATTTATTATGCACTGTGGCCATAACTTTTGCAATCTGAGATGTGGCAGCAAACTAGTACAAATTTCTTTTTCCTTTTTTGCAATTTTACAGATAGAAGATAGGTTTTTACATAGAGCTTAGTAATCTCAGCATATGATTTTTTTCTTTCTCTTCTCTTTGGCATATGGAAATTGTCAGCTTCACTATTATTGCACTTTGGGGCCCCGATTAAGTAAAATTAGGGTGACTTAAACACAAACACTGCAATATTATTGAAGTGGCCTTGTTGTCTGGGGTGATACCCAAGATTGGTTGTCTCATGGCCATGGAAAACTAGGACGTGGACACACAAAGAATGAGGTTGAGAGCGGAAGTTTAATAGGCAAAAAAAGAGAAAAGCTTTCTCTGTTGCAGAGAAAGGGGTCCTGAATGGGTTTCTAGTTCCATGGTGAAATGCAGGGGGTTTTATAGATTAGCTTGAGGAGGTGTTGTCTGATTTACATAGGGTGCAAAAGATTGGTTGGACCAGGTGTGCCATTTGCATAAGGCATGAAAAACTGGTTAGGACTATGTGTGTCATTTGCATAGGGCACAAAAAACTGGCAGTCTCCACCCTAATCTTTTATTATGCAAATGGGTTCTTCTGCCTGGCTGGCACCATGTTGCCCATTCCTTTACTATACATGTGGTAACAAAAAGAAGGGAAGATAGAGCCTCCATGTTGGATATGCCTGGTCCCCAGGTAGCCCTTTTCCATTGGCACAGCTGCCGGCATTCCCCCATGCAAGCTTCCAGCTTGCTTATCTATGTTTGCAGCTTGATTTTTCAGGCTGCTCTTTGTTAGAAAAAAATAATTTCTTTGGCTGATTTTTGTTAGAAGGGAAGCTTTGCCGAGAACTCTTTTGCTCTCACTATCTGCCTAAATAATTTCTTTCTAGCTCCTGTATCTTTATGACAGTTGATCTGTTAATGAAGATGATTTCCAAGTGACTAACAGGTGGGGAGCATAGAGAGTGTAGATATGCTGGAAAAAGGGATTATTCACATCCCAGGCCAGAAGGAGAGGGACAGATGAGATTTCATTATGCTACTTAAACAATGGGCAACTTAAAACTTATGAATTGTTTATTTCTAGCATTTTTCATTTAATATTTTTAGATCTCCATTTACTGGAAGTGACTGAAACCACATAAATTGAAATAAAAGAAAAGGGAGGGTAGTCCCTTTTAATTTTTGTAATTCTAGAAAGAGAGAAGTTTAGTCAGAGACCTACAGTAAAAAGCAAGTACTGAATTTTTAAGTATTCCTCTTTTGTTCCACTCTTTTCCTTTTTTTCTCTTTCCAAGAAAATCAGAATAGTACTCTGCTAGAAAATAAATTTCCATGATGAAGAGCAGCTCTTGAAAAGACTAGCAAATCTGCAGACTTGATGGTGCTATCTGAGCAGTTGGCCAGTCACTCTTATGGTATCTAGATTTTCACTTCATGCAGTGAAAACACCATATGATTCAATTTCCCATCTGGACAGAGTGACTCAAATCCTATCCAAAGAAAAACATGTGGGAATTCCCAAGTTTAACATACCAAAAGAAAAAACTATGAGATGCGAATGGAAAATAGAACAAATGAATAGTTTCAGTAAGCATGCATTTTCTTAAGTCAACAAAAATTAGTGACAATCTCTATTGTAATTAAATTCTAGTGTCTATTTGGTTTACCAATGAATATTGAGCTATTGGCTGAAATTCACCCCTGATATTACACGTAGGTCCTTTTCTATTTTCCCTAAGTGTTGGCCAGTCTGAGAAATAAAGGGACACAGTACAAAAGAGAGAAATTTTAAAGCTGGGTGTCCGGGAGAGACATCACATGACGGCAGGTTCCGTGATGCCCCCGAGCCGTAAAACCAGTAAGTTTTTATTAGTGATTTTCAAAAGGGGAGGGAGTGTATGAATAGTGTGTGGGTCACAGAGATCACATGCTTCACAAGGTAATAAGATATCACAAGGTAAATGGAGGCAGGGCGAGATCACAGGACCACAGGACTGGGACGAAATTAAAATTGCTAATGAAGTTTTGGGCACACATTGTCATTGATAACATCTTATCAGGAGACAGGGTTTGAGAGCAGACAACCAGTCTGACCAAAATTTATTAGTCGGGAATTTCCTCATCCTAATAAGCCTGGGAGTGCTATGGGAGACCGGGGCTTATTTCATCCCACAGCAACAACCGTAAAAGACAGCCGCCCCCAAAGCGGCCATTTTAGAGGCCTCCCCTCAGGGACGCATTCTCTTCTCAGGGATGTTCCTTGCTGAGAAAAAGAATTCAGCGATATTTCTCCCATTTGCTTTTGAAAGAAGAGAAATATGGCTCTGTTCCGCCCAGCTCACTGGCAGTCAGCGTTTAAGGTTATCTCCCTTGTTCCCTGAACATTGCTGTTATCCTGTTCTTTTTTCAAGGTGCCCAGATTTCATATTGTTCAAACACACATGCTCTACAAACAATTTGTGCAGTTAACGCAATCATCACAGGGTCCTGAGGTGACATACATCCTCCTCAGTTTACAAAGATGATGGGATTAAGAGATTAAAGTAAAGACAGGCATAGGAAATCACAAGGGTATTGATTGGGGAAGTGATAAGTGTCCATGAAATCTTCACAATTTATGTTCAGAGATTGCAGTAAAGACAGGCGTAAGAAATTATAAAAATATTAATTTGGAGAACTAATAAATGTCCATGAAATCTTCACAATTTATGTTCTTCCACCATGGCTTCAGCCGGTCCCCCCGTTCAGGGTCCCTGACTTCCTGCAACATTGAGCCATCATCATTCTATTCATTTTGTGCTCCTTAAGTTAATAGAAACTGTCCATCCTGATCTTACAGAACTTTACTCAGCTGCAGATGCTAAGATTACTCAAATTGTAGACTCAGTCACAAGATCTACCTTCTCATCTTAATAAGATCTTGACAAATACTGGTAACATATTGGCCTCATACAAAGATCTGGCAAATATTTTACTTCTGCAAGTTTTACATCTGATATTCTATTTGTATCTTAAGTTGAAGACTACCTGGATTTGGGTTTCACACACAAGAGGTGGCTTCTACTCTGATTTCTTATTTTGTGTGCCAGTTTTCCTTTCTTCTGTTAAGCTCTGATGCGTCATAACTCTAATCTCTCACAGACAACTGTTCAACCCCACTCCTCTTCACAACTTACTAATTTCAGTCATTGGGGAAGGAATGCTGAGGCACAGTGTGTGGTTCAGGCTATTCTGGACTTGTAAGGTCTTCTGCAACACCTGTGGGGTGACAGCCTATAGCCCCACTCCAGTAACTTTTTGATGGACAGATCTAAAGAAGCAGTGACTTAGAAGCACCTCACAGAGTGCCAGATGATAGAATAGACTCCTCAACAGCCCCACATTTAGTAGATAAATCACTGTAGACAGGACTGAAAAAATGTCCATTGCACATACTATTATACTTCATTTCCTGTCTTGCCTTTCTCTTTGTTCCTACCTCTGCTTAACTCTTTCAGAATGCATTCCTGATTTTTTAATCCCTTGATTTATAATCTCTATTCTCCTGATTCCCCAGTGTTGTCTCATTTCTTCTGGCACAGCATTTCTGGAATTAGAATTACTAATAGTGACCCCCGTTTTAGCATGCAGGAAGCCCTGGTTATTTCCTCCTTTGTTTTCTCTCCTCAGAGGCAGTCTCCTTCACAGGTAGCTCTAGTCAGAAAGCTATGTGTAAAGAGGCAATTCTACTGGTTGAAAAAAATGAGGTTAATTAGGGCAAGCTAAATGAGAAAACAGTAAAAAGTGAATGGTCTACTGCAAACCTATTACAATGGCTAAAATCTGGAACACTGACAACATCAAATGTTGATGAGGTTAAGGAGCAACAAGAACTCTCATTTATTGCTGGTGGGAATGCAAAATGAAACAGCCACTTTGGAAGACAGTTCGGTAGTTTTTCATAAAAGTAAACTAAACATACTCATATAACACAATCAAATAATCACGCTCTTTGGTAGTTTCCCATGGAGTTAAAAACTTATGTCTACTGAAAACCTGGACATGGAGGTTTGTGGCAGTTTTATTTATAATTGCCCAGATTTGGAAACAACTAAGATGTACTTCAGTGGGTGAATGGATAAGTACATAGTGATACATCCAGACAATGAAATAATATTCAGTGCTAAAAAGAAATAAATTATCAAGCCATGAGAAGATATGGAGGAAGCTTAAATGTATATTACTAAGTGCAAGAAGCTAATCTGAATACATACTCCTTCTAACTATGACATTCTGGAAAAGAAAAAACTGTGTAGAGGGCAAAAAGATCAGTGATTGCCAAGATATGAATGTTGGAGAAGTGATTAACAGGTGAAGAACAGGGGACTTTTTAGGGCAATGAAAATACATTGTATAATACCATAATAATGAATACATGTATAAATACATACATGTATTTATACATTTGTCTAAACCCATAAAATGTACAACAGCAAGAGTAAACCTTAAGAAAACTATGGGCTTTGGATGTTTACAATGTGCCAACATAGTTTTATGAATTGTAAAAAGTGTTGCACTCTGATGAGGGATGATGATAACCAGGGAGTCTGTGCATATGTGAGGGCAGGGAGTAAATGGGAAATCTATATCTTCCTCTCAATTTTGCTGTGAACCTAAAACTAATCTAAAATATAGTCTTTTAATAATTAAAAATATATTAATGGTTGTACTAAACTACCATTAGTTAATCCAAAATGTTCTAGACTGTATGATTTTAAGTGAAAAAGTATCTTCTCTTTTTTGTAATTTCAATTTTTATATTAGATTCAGGAGGTACCTGTGCAGGTTTGTTACATGGATATGTTGAGTAGTATGCATAGTACCTAATAGGTAGTTTTGAAATATTTGCACCCCTTCTCCCTATGTTGTCCCCATTTTTATGCCCATGTGTACCAAATATTTCATGCAGTATTTTGTTTCCTGTTTCTTTGTTGATTCACTGAGGCTAATGGCCTCCAGCTGCATTCATATTGTTGCAAAGGACACGACATCATTCTTTTGTATGGCTGCATAGTATACCCATGATGTATATGTACTACATTTTCTTTATCCAATCCACCATTGATGGGCACCTAGGTTGATTTCATGGCATTGCTATTATGAATAGTGCTATGATGAATACATGATATGGTTTGGATAAATTCCCCCTCCAAATGTCATGTTGAAATGTAATCTCCAGTGTTGGTGGTGGGGCCTGGTGGAAGGTGTTTGAATAATGGGGGTAGATTCCTTGTGAATGGCTTGGTACTCTCCCTCCTCTCTCTCTTGCTCACTCTCTTGCAATATGACACACCTGCTCCCCCTTCCTTTCTGTCATGAGTAAAACCTTCCTGAGGCCTCAGCATAACCTGAGCAGATTCTGGTGCTATGCTTACACAGCCTGAAGAACTGTGGGCCAAATAAACCTATTTTCTTTATAAATTACCCAGCCATGAGTATTCCTTGATAGCAACACAATATGGACTAATACATTAAATTGGTATGAAGGAGTGAGGTTTTGCTAAAAAGATAACTAGAAGATGTATAAGTGACTTTGGAGCTAGAAAACAGGCAGAGGTTAGAAGAGTTTGGAGGGTTTGGAAGAAGACAGGAAGATGAGGGAAAGTTTGGAATTTCATACAGACTGGTAAATGGTTGTGACCAAACTGCGGATAGAAATATGGACAGTGAAGGTAATGCTGATGAGGTCCCAGATGGAAATGAGGAAGCTATTGGAGTAAAGGTAACCTGTGTTGTTCTCAGGGCAAAGAACTTGGCTGTATTGTGTCCATGCCCTAGGAATTCACAGAAGGTTGAAGTTAAGAATAATGACCTAGGTTATCTGGAGAAGAAATTTCTAAGCAGCAAAGCATTAAAAAATGACATGCCTGCATCTAACAATCTGATTTGGGAGCAAAGAAATGACTTAAAGTTGGAACTTGAATTTAAAAGGGAAGCAGAGCATTAAAGTTTGGAAAATTAGCAGCCTGGCCATGTCACAGACAAGGAAAAAGAAGCCTGTTAAGCAAACACTTGATAGATTAAAGGCCTAGAAGTCATTTCAGAAGTCCTCAGGAAAGTCCATCTTATCACAGGACCAGAGGCCTAGGAGAAAATAATGGTTTTAAGGCCAGGGTCAGGGTGCCACTGCGTTGAACCATCTTGGGAGTCTGATCCCTGCATTCCAGCTTCTCTAGCTCTAGGCTTGACTCAAAGGGCCCCAGGTACGTCTCAGAATGCTGCTTTGAAGAGTGCAAGCTACTATGAGCCTTAGCAGTTTCCACGTGGTATTAAGCCTGCAGGAACAAATATTACAAGAGTGAGGGAGGCTTGGCAGGTTCCACCTAGATTTCAGAAGATGTATTAGAAAGCTTGAGTGCACAGGAAGTAGCCTGCCACAGGGATGCAGCCCCCACAGAGTACTTCTGCCAGGGCAGTGCCAAGGGAAAATATGGGGCTGAAGGCACCATGCAGAATCCCCATCTAGTGGAACTGTGGAAACAGGGTTGTTGACCTCCAGATTCCAGAATGGTAGAATCAGCAGCAGCGTTCAGCCTCAGCATGGAAAACCTGTAGGCATCAGAGTCCAACCCATGAGAGCAGCCATGTGGGCTATGTCCAGCAAATCCACGACGGTAAGGCTGTCCAGGGCCTTGATAGCCCACCCCTTACACCAGTGTGTCCAGAAAGCAGGATATGGAGTCAAGGGACATTATTTGGAGCTTTAATATTTAATGTCTGCCTTGCTGGGTTTCAGACTTGTGTGAGGCTTGTTGCCCCTTTCTTTTGCCTGATTTCTCCCTTTCAGAATGAGTATGTTTACCCAATGCCACCTGTGCCATCATTGTATCTTGGGAGTAAATAACTTGTTTTTTTATTTGACAAGATCATACCTGTAAGGAACTTGCCTTGAGTTTCAGATGAGACTTTGGATTTTGAGTTTTTGGGTTGATGCTGCAATGAGTTTAGGTGCTATTAGAAAGGTAGATTATATATTGAAATGTTAGAAAGAAATGAGGTTTGGGGGATGAGGGGCAAAAAAGTATGGTTTGGATATTTGTTCCCTTCAAATCTCATATTGAAATGTCATCCCCAATGTTGGAGGTGGGGCCTGGTGGGGGTGTTTGGGTAATGAGGTGGTTCCCTCATGAATAGCTTGGTACCCTCCCTCATCTCTCTCTTGCTTGCTTGCTTTCTTTCCACGTCACATGCTTGCTCCCTCTTCCTTTCCTCCATGAGTAAAACCTTTCTGAGTCCTCACTAGAAGCCAAGCAGATGCTGGTGCCATGTGTATACAGCATGCAGAACCATGAGTAAAATAAATCTCTTTTCTTTATAAGTTACTCAGCCCCAGGTACTCCTTTGTAGCAACACAAAGTGGACTAATAGAACATATGAGTGCATGTGTTTTTCTGGCAGAACAATTTATTTTCTTTTGGATATACCACAGTAACGGGATTGCTGTGTCAAATAATAGTTGTATTTTTAATTCTTTAAGAAGTCTCCAACCTACTTTCTACAGTGGCTGAAATAATTTTCATTTCCAGCAACAATGTATAAGCATTCTTTTCTCTACGGCCTCGCCAACATGTGTCATTTTTTGACTTTTCACTAATAGCCATTCTGACTGGAGTGGGATGGTAACTCATTGTGGTTTTGATTTGTATTTATCTGATGATTAGTGTTGTTGAGTATTTTTAATATAGTTGTTGGCCACCTGTATGTCTTCCTTTGAGAAGCGTCTGTTTACATACTTTGCCCACATATTAATGGGGTTATTTGCTTTTTACTTGTTTATTTGTTTACATTTTTCATAGATTCTGGATATTAGTTCTTTGTCACATGCATAGTTTGTGAACGTTTTCTCCCATTCTGTAGATAATCTGGTTGATCAATTGATAGCTTCTTTGGCTGTGCAGAAGCTCTTTAGTTTCATTGAGTCCAACTTGTCAATTTTTGCTTTTGTTGCAACTACTTTTGAAAACTTACTCATAAATTCTTTGCAAAGGCCAATGTCCAGAGGGTAAGTCCTAGGTTTTCTTCTTGGATTTTTAGCATTGTAGATCTTACCATTAAGTGTTTAACCCATCTTGACTTAATTTTTGTATATGATGATAAGAAGGGGTCCAGTTTAATTCCTCTGTATGTGATTACCTAGTTATCCCAGTACCATTTATTGAATAAGGAGTCCTTGATCCATTGCATATTTTTGTCAACTTTGTCACAGATCAGCTTATTGTCAGTGTATGGCTTTATTTCTAGGTTCTCAATTCTGTTACTTTTGTCTACGTGTCTCTTTTTGTAGCAGTACCATGTTGTTTTGTTACTGTAGCCTCATGGTAGAGTTTGAGGTCAGGTAATGTGATACCTCCAGCTTTGTTGTTTTTTTTTTTTTGTGGTTAGGATTACTTTGGCTCTTCAGGCTCTTTTTCAGTTCCATATAAATTTTAGAATCGTTTTTTTCTAATTCTGTGAAAAATGATGTTGATAGTTTGGTGGGAGTAGTGTTGAATCTTGAGGTTGCTTTTTGCAATATGGACGTTTTCGTGACATTGATTTTTCTAATCCCTGAGCATGGAATGTTTTTCCATTTGTTTGTGTCATCTATGATTTCATTCAGCAATGTTTTGTATAGTTCTTCTTGTAGAGGTTTTTCACCTCCTTGGTTAGATATATTTCTAGGCATTTAATTTTTTTGTGGCTATTGTAAATGTAGTTGCTTTCTTGATTTGACTATAAACTTGAATGTTGTTGGTGTATAGAAATGCTACTGATTTTTATACATAGATTTTATATCCAGAAATTTTACTGAAGTCAGTTATTAGGTCTAGGAGCCTCTTGTCATAGTCTTTAGGGTTTTCTAAGTGTAGAATCATATCATCAGTGAAGAGAGATAATTTGACTTCTTTTTATATGTGTATGTCTTTTATTTTATGCTCCTGCCTGATTGCTCTGACTGGGACATCCAGTACTATGTTGAATAGGAGTGGTGAGAGTGGACATCATTTGCTTGTTCCTGTTCCCTAACAGAGAATACTTTTAGCTTTTGTCCTTTCAGCTTGATGTTGGCTGTGTGTAGATGACTCTTATTATCTTGAGGAATGTTCCTTTAATGAATAGTTTGTAGAGAGTCTTTATCAAGAAAAAATGTTGTATTCTATCAGAAGGTTTTCTGTGTCTATTGAGATGATCATATAACTTTTTAAAATTTTATTTTACTTTAAGTTCTGGGATACATGTGCAGAATGTGCGGGTTTTTTTACATAGGTAAACGTGTGCTATGGTGTTTGCTGCACCTATCAACCTGTCACCTATGTATTAAGTCCTGCATGCATAAGCTATTTGTTCTGATGCTCTCCCTGCCCTCGCCCCCCTAACAGGCTCTAGTGTGTGTTCTTCCCCTCCCTGTGTCCGTGTGTTTTCATTGTTCAGCTCCCACATATGAGTGAGAACATGTGGTGTTTGGTTTTCTGTTCCTGCATTAGTTTGCTGAGGATGATGGCTTCCAGCTTCATCCATGTCCCTGCAAATGACATGATCTCATTCTTTTTTATGGCTACATAGTATTCCATGGTATATATGTACCACATTTTCTTTATCTAGTCTATCATCGATGGTCATTTGGGTTGGTTCCATGTCTTTGCTATTGTGAATAGTGAATAGTGCGGCAATAAACATATGTGTGCATGTGTCATTATAATAAATTAATTTATATTCCTTTGGGTATATACCCAGTAGTGGGATTGCTGAATCAAACGGTATTTCTGGTTCTAGATCCTTGAGGAATTGCCACACTGTCTTCCACAGTAGTTGAACTAATTTCCATTCCCATCAACAGCATAAAAGCATTCCCATTTCTCCACAGCCTCGCCAGCATCTGTAGTTTCTTGACTGTTTAATAGTCGCCATTCTGACTGGCTTGAGATGGTATCTCATTGTGGTTTTGATTTACATTTCTCTAATGATCGGTGATGTTGAGCTTTTTTTCCATGTTTATTGGCCACATTAATGTCTTCTCTTGAGAACTGTCTGCTCATGTCCTTTGCCCACTTTCTGATGGAGATGATTTGTGTGTGTGTGTGTGTGTGTGTGTGTGTGTGTGTTCTGTTTTATTTTTCACGGGGGTTTGGTGTACAGATTATTTGATCAGCCAGGTAATAAGCATATTATCTGATAGGTAGTTTCTCAATACTCATCCTCCTCCTACCCTCCACCCTCAAGTAAGTCCTAGTGTCTATTGTTCCTTTCTTTGTGTCCATGGGTACTCAATATTTAGTTCTCACTCATAAGTAAGAACATGTGGTATTTGATTTCCTGCTTCTGCATTAGTTTGCTCAGAATAAGGGCCTCTAGCTCCTTCCATGTTGCTGCAAAGGACATGATCTCATTCTTTTTTATGGCTATGTAGTATTCTATGGTGTATATGTACACATTTTCTTCATCCAGTCTACTGTCAATGGGCATTTCTGTTGATTCCAAGGAAGACATGTGTTGTGATTTATATTCTAAGACTACTAGCAGCATGATTTTAGGCTATATTAGTGCTAAAGGCCTTGGTTTCCTTATCTGTTAAATTTCCACACATTTTTAACATTCAGTGATTCCTTATGGCTGAGAGGCTAGATACCAATAATTTGATTTGAATGAATTCAATGTTTTTATTTATTTATTTATTTATTTATTTCAGTTTGGTCATACGTTTTTTTTTTTCTTGTAAATTTAAGTTCCATGTAAATTCTGGATATTAGACCTTTGTCAGATGAGTAGATTGCAAAAATTTTCTCCCATTCTGTAGACTGCCTGTTCACTCTGATGATAGTATCTTTTGCTGTGCAGAAGCTTTTTAGTTTAATTAGATCCCATTTGACAATTTTAGCTTTTGTTGCAATTGCTTTTGGATATTTTATTATAAAAATCTTTGCCCATGCTTATGTCCTGAATGATATTGCCTAGATTTTTTTCTAGGGTTTTTATGGTTTGGGGTTTTACATTTGAGTCTTTAATCTGTCTTTAGTTAATTTTTGTATAAGGTGTAAGGTAGGGGTCCAGTTTCAGTTTCCTACATATGGCTAGCCAGTTTTCCCAGCACCATTTATTAAATAGGGAATCCTTTCCCCATTCTGTTTATGCGGTGAACCACCTTTATTGATTTTCGTATGTTGAACCAAACTTGGATCCCAGGAATTATGCCTTCCTGATCATGGTTAATTAACTTTTCGATGTCCTGCTGTATTCAGTTTAGTAGTGTTTTGTTGAGGATATTTGCATCTATGTTCATCTGATGTATTGGCCATTAGTTTTCTTGTTTTGTTGTGCCTTTTCCAGATGTTTGTATCAGGATAATGCTGGCTTCATAGAATGAATTAAAGAGGAAACACTCCTCCTCAATTTTTTGGAATAGTTTCAGTGTGATTGGTAACAGCTCCTCTTTGCATATCTGGTAGAATTCAGTTGTGAATCTATCTGGTAGAGGGCTTTTTTTGGTCGGTAGGTTTTTATTACTGTTTCAATTTAATAATGCATTATTGGTCTGTTCAAGCTTTCAATTTCTTCCTGATTTGATCTGGGGAGGTTGTATGTTTACAGAAATTTATCCTTTTCCTGTAGATTCTGTTGTCTCTATGCATAGAGGTGTTCATAACAGTCTCTGAGGATCTTTTGTATTTCTGCAGCATCAGTTGTAATGTTATCTTTGTCATTTCTGTTTGCAGTTATTTGCATTTTCTCTCTTTTTTTGTTAATTTAGCTAGTGATTATCTGTGTTGTTTATTCTTTCAAAACACCAACTTATCTTTTTTTGATTCTTTGCGTGAATTATCGCATCTCAATTTTGTTTAGCTTGTCTCTGATTTTAGTTATTCCTTTTCTTCTGCTAGCTTTGGGGTTGATTTGCTCTTACTTTCCTAGTTCCTCTGGGTGTAATATTAGAATGTTCATTTGAGATCATTCTGACTTCATCATGTGGGCATTTAGTGTTATAAACTTTCCTCTTAACACTGCTTTTGTTGCATTCCAGAGATTTTGGTATATTTTGTCTTGGTTTTCATTGTTTCCAAAGATATGCGTCAGTCCAACAGCAATAGCAGCCCTGCTGTCTTCCCACCTGGCAGTGAGCAGGGTTTTCAGATACTTAGAACAAGATAAAGAGCCTTGGGGGATGGGCACATACCATCATGCGAAATTATATTTTTAAAAGGAGTGGATAATTATGGTTTCTGTACAAAAATTAGGAATCATACCCATAAATTTGGGTTGGTTTATTTAGAGGTCGTTATATTTAAAAAGGGAAGCTCATTCTGAGAGAGTAACAAAAATAGAGTTTTCAGGGTGTATTAGTCAGGGTTCTCTGGAGGGACAGGACTAATAGGGTGGATGTATATATAAAGGGAAGTTTATTAGGGAGTATTGACTCACACAGTCACAAGGTGAAGTCCCACAATAGGCCGTCTGCAAGCTGAGGAGCAAAGAAGCCAGTCCAAATCCCCAAACCTCAAAACTAGGGAAGCCTACAGTGCAGCCTTCAGTCTGTGGCTAAAGGTCTGAGAGTCCCTGACAAACCACTGCTGTAAATCCAAGAGTCCAAAAGCTGAAGAACGTGGAGTCTGACGTTCGAAGGCAGGAAGCATCCAGTATGGGAGAAAGATGAAGGCCGGAAGACTCAGCCAGTCTAGTTCTTCCACATTCTTCTGCCTGCTTTATTCTAGCCTTGCTGGCAGCTGATTAGATTGTGCATTCCCAGATTGAGGATGGGTCTGCCTCTCCCAGGGCACTGATTCAAATGTTAATCTCCTTTGGCAATAACCTCACAGACATACCCAGAAACAATATTTTGCATCCTTCAATCTAATCAAGTTAACAGTATTAACGATCACACAGGGTGAAAAGAGGGAGAAATAAAGTCAAATACATTATTAACACTGAAATATAGATGAAAATTTGAAAGTTAGTCACAAATTTGTATCTAACCCCAGGATGCTCCTGGACTTCTGTGAGTAACAATACAACATACCTGAAACAACAGTTAAAAAACAATTTCAAGTTCAGGACATGCTATGGTGTGGTTTAGAGAGAATCAGAATTCAGACTTGAATAAGGGGCTTGGCATAAAATTTAGCAATGCTGTAGAGAAAGATGACTAGTCTTGTCAATTGGCTATTCATGGGGATGGAAAGAAATTATATGTAAAGATGATCTCAGAGCTTCAGAACTTTTTTTTTTTTTTTTTTTTTTTTGAGACGGAGTCTCAATCTATCGCCCAGGCTGGAGTGCAGTGGTGCGATCTCAGCTCACTGCAACCTCTACCGCCTGGGTTCAAGCAATTCTCCTGCCTCAGACTCCCGAGTAGCTGGGATCACAGACGCCTGCCACTGCGCCTGGCTAATTTTTGTATTTTTAGTAGAGATGGGGTTTCACCATCTCGGCCGGGCTGGCCCTGAACTCCTGACCTCAAGATCCACCCACCTCGGCCTCCCAAAGTGCTGGGATTACAGGCGTGAGCCACCGTGCCTGGCCAGAGCTTCAGAATTTAAGATGCTTGGTTGTAGGGTGATCCATTGAAAATAGAGGGCAAGGGATGTATAGTTAGAGAACTCAGAATCTGCTCAGTTTGTTCACAAACAAATAACATTAGTGTGTTATCTTTGTGGCGATTATTAGTAAATAATTAAAAACCTAAATTCTACTAATGATAGCTCCATTTCCATAGCTGGTATTGTCTATTTTCTTAAAAGTACCTTTGGATTTATAAGAGTAATAAACAGGCTCCCAGAGGGAGAGATAAAGCCTCCCTCAAACGGTCAAATTGAACATAATTTAATGAAGGGACAGTTTCCACAGTTTTGGAAAGGTTTATAGAATCAACTAAGAACCATAAGGTCCCCAAGGACTAGCTTCAGTTGATAGACATTGTCTTCCATGCTTGAGGCAGCATGGTGTTAGCAGAGTCTGATGATCCCTGGTTATATGGACTAGGGGCTTCTGAAAATAAGCTGTGGCCTTGGCAGGACACTGCTGCTGCCAAAACCCAAGTGAGATGAAGAAGGAGCTAGGGTGGGAAAGAGGTAAATACTTCACCTTCCTCCTTTGGGTCTCCTGCTGGTACCCCGCCCCCCAGTTAGTCAAAGCCAATAAGGGATAAGGGAAATCCAGAGACACTTTCCATTGAGATCAGCCCCGCAGAGCACAGAACAAGGTCAGAATGTAGAAACGTTGGAGACTAAGCATAATTTACCAACCAATACTATAAAAATTTCTTCATAGTATTCACATTAGTGTTTTCAGAGTTCAATAAATATTTGTTAATTGTTAAAATCCATCTTTATCTGTCTGTTTTTACTGCTAGTGCTCTAGTTCCTGCCTTTATTACTTCTTCTTTGGAACTATCATCTAATGTGTTCACCCCGTTAACTGCCTCTGCTACAGTTCTAATCATGCCACTCCCTTGATGTGAGTGTGTCCCCATTTCCTACTGCCTAATGACCCAGTCCTTGTAGACTTCCTAAAATCCATATATTATATCCTTGTTTCTAGAGTCCGTGTATATACAGACTATATTTTATTTAATCTAACTATCTGTGCATATAGTAATCTTTTAGTGAGAGAGCCTTATTTTCCATAGTAAAGAAGTTTCTCTTAGAGAATGTTCAAGAAATTTCCAGCAGAGTAAAATCATCTGGACAACTTGTCCTTTCAAGTCCATGGCTCCATGGTTCAGCCGGAACAGTATTCCAATTAAACTACTCACTCACTCATTCACCCAATTGTTTATTTAGTAAAGACTCATCCAGTGCCTACTATTTGTTAAGCATTGCTACTACTGTGGAATTGAAAGTACATTATGTCAAATAGCTTAGCCTTTTGCTACATGTGAGTGAAAATGATTACAGCTCAGGTACTGGATGCTAAGGAAGGCTTATGCCCAGGGAGAATGCTAGTTCATGAAGGGAACAGTTGTTCCATTTGAGGAGGGGAAAGCATAAAGATGTGAACATGGCCATACAGACCAGTGAAAAATAAGTGCACACAAAGATTAAGATATTGTGTGCAAAATTCAGGATGAGAACACATATCATCTTAAGGAATCATTGGTGGTTCAATATAGAGAGAAAGAGCAAAGTCAAGGTTGGAGTTGGAGCAAATGAGAGACAAGAATGCATGGAGTAGGCCCTTTTCTCATCACTATGATATAAGATCCAAATCTTCAAGAGGAAAAAGATGTGTCTGACAATTTGGCTTCTTTCTGCTGCTTGAGCTTCACTTCTTGCTGCTCCCTTCTATTGCTTCTCTTTTCACTCCACTGTCAGCCATATTTTAAACCCTATGAAAATATTCTCTGTAACTATCAACCCCCTAGTAATAATGTAACAATTTGAATGTAATAGTTTCTCTCTTTGATTCCATAGCACTTTGTTCTGTGCTTGTCACACTGTGCTGTGATCATTCTTCATCTCTGGTCCTTCCACTGGATTACAAGCTCCACAGGGGTCCATATCTTATTTCAATAAATGTTTACTGAAGGCAAAAACTTCTTAATATTTGAAGGCAGATGCAGAAGCTACTAAAAAAATGATTGTTAGTAACAGTCTATATAGAAGAAAATATCCAAGTATAAATCACAAAACAAATTTAAAAACCCAGGAAAATATTTGCACCATACATGAAAGAAGATGAACATCCTTACTATGGAAAGTTATCTTATACATCATTCTCAGCAAACTATCGCAAGGACAAAAAACCAAACACCGCATGTTCTCACTCATAGGTGGGAATTGAATAATGGGAACACATGGACACAGGAAGGGGAACATCACACACTGGGGCCTGTTGTGGGGTGGGGGAAGGGGGGAGGGATAGCATTAGGAGATATACCTAATGTAAATGACGAGTTAATGGGTGCAGCACACCAACATGGCACATGTATACATATGTAACAAACCTGTACATTGTGCACATGTACCCTAAAACTTAAAGTATAACAAAAAAAAGAAAATTAAAAAAAAGAAAAGCCTATGACAAGATGCTTTAAACTTAAACACAAAGAAAAAAGTCAAAATGAAAATACAAATTTCTCTTTTCAGATAGATAAAACTATTGGATGTTTGATAAAATCCAGGATGAATTAGATATAGACAGGGGAAGATTTTGATTGCAGCAGTGGGTAAGTGTAAGGGCTTTATATTGAGAGATTTCGTTGGACAGAAGATGCAGAAAAATAATAGAATCTGCCAAAATGTCCATCTAGTGTCAAGGGAAGAATACCATACTGATCCTTTTGACAGGATTTTAAAGCAGCTTCGGGCTACAAACTTTAAGTTATATATTGCTCGCACCCACTAGTCATGTGCCCAACACACACACACACACATCCACACACACATACACATATGCACACACACATACATACACCCACGCATATTTAAGACGAATTAAAGTGGTTAAACGCACAAGCTCTGGAGCTCTGCTCATTAGGCCCAAATCCTGGCTGTATATCTATCTATTTTACCATAGCCATATCACCTAGTTGTTCAAGGCCTCTGATTTCTCACTTATAAAATGGAGATAATGATATACCTACATATGTGGTTGAGTGAAGGGTAAATTAGTTAATGCATTTGTATTTATTTATTTATTTATTTATTTGAGATGGAATTTCACTCTTATTGCTCAGGCTGGAGGGCAATGGTGTGATCTTGGCTCACCACAACCTCCGCCTCCTGGGTTCAAGTGATTCTCCTGCCTCAGCCTCCTGAGTAGCTGGGATTACAGGCATGTGCCACCGCACCTGGCTAATTTTGTATTTTTAGTAGAGACAGGGTTTCTCCATGTTGATCAGGCTGGTCTCAAACTCCCGACCTTAGGTGATCCACCCACGTTGGCCTCCCAAAGTGCTGGGATGACAGATGTGAGCCACCCCGCCCGGCCTTAGTTAATGCATTTAATACTTAAAATTGGTCAAGCACAAATAAAGCACTTAGCCATTATTATTAGTATCTGTTTTTGCCCTTCTACGTTATCTAATTTCCCTAATAATATTCTTCATATAATCATGATAAATCAATAAATGTCACTCTGTTAAAGTGCTAACAGTTTTGAGGAGGAACTCACTAAAAAGTGACAGTAAATTGGATCTATATTAACAACTCCAAGAGTCTGAATGGTAGTTTTAAAGATGTTTAATATTTGAATCATTTGCACATCATAGAAAACGTAAAACAATAAAACAAAAATGGTAGTAATCACAAAATCCAAGGAGAGATACTGATAAACACTTTGTTGTAACATAATGCTAGGAGGCTTCTGTGAGCCATAATATGCTGGGTGAATGTGGTGGTGACTCGGTGGATGTGGTGCTGCCATCTGAGAACTTTTCCAGCCCCATCTTCCCAGAATCTCTTGTGCAAGATTTACTAGCAGCTCTGTTGGTACGCTCTGCAAGCCAGAGGGGGAGATTTTCTCATGACATCCCTCTCCTAGGCTTATTTTTTCAAATTAACTTGTCCTAATCCCTCTCTTTTTTTCCTTTTTCTCCCTTACGCTAAAGAAATAATAACCAATTATTAAGTTAATGAATCTTCTCTTAACATTATTTAAATTTGAAAAATGTTAACACAACATATACATAGGTGTGTGTTCGTGTATATGCATATACATGATGATGTGTTCATTGCTCTCAGGCAATTTTAGGGAAACTACTATTTATTGGTTGGAAAAACTGGGAAAAAATCTAGTAAATTGATGCTGCTCCAGTGCAGATTCCCCAGTTTAGGTACTTTGACAAAACCATTTTCCACTGTAGTGAATTAAAACCCTATGCTAGAAGTGTTGGGTGGTAAACCTTAATATGTTGGGGGAGGGGGCTAAATTGTTACATATAAGGTCAGAGAAGTGACAAGACACGCTTTATTTATAGTAAACCCCTGGAGAGTGTCATGTTCGTTCTAAAGCCAGGGTTATAGTTTCTGTCTACCAACAATAAAATGTGTGTAATAAGAATTCACATTCATAAAGAGGAAGAAGGGAAAATGCATTTGCATTGCACTTTTTCAAAAGGCAGAAAAGACATTTGATGAGATGAATGATTCTCATCTGTCATGAAAGCCTTCCTTATAAAGAAAAAAGGAATATCACTATGTTTCTAATAGTAAAATGGCTGATTCTCATTTCCTGCCTAATGAATTATTTACACACTCCACTGAAGGCCATTTATACTCAATCTACACTTACACAATGCTCCAGAAGGTGGTGCACTCATTTATTAGGTAATCTCTTCTGAATTCAATGTATTCCCTTCATTTACTCTGCAAAAATGTTGGTGTTCTCTACCTTAGGGATAAATGAAGGCCCATGTTACAATACACCAGCTCTACTATAATCACAGAGCAATGGGTAAAGTGAATTTTTGTAGGGATGCCATTATTTGATCAATGAAAACAGACAACATAGATACTTCACAACCAAGAGAGAAAGAACAGTAAGAAAGAACAGCTTACAGTATGATCCATACCCTTATCCACTGTACCTTGGAATCCTGTTGCCATTTCCTGACTCTTCTCTCACATTTCTCCTCTGTGATCTAGCTCTTTCAGGTACTAACACTCCCTGACCTAGTGGAGGTTCTTAAGTTGGACAAAGTGGACCCCTTTAAACTGAAGATGGTGCTTTTAATATCTTGATATAGCTTCTTCTAAGTGACAAATTGGTTGCTAG
The DNA here is from genome assembly GCF_000001405.40 of Homo sapiens. Classification (NCBI taxonomy): domain Eukaryota; kingdom Metazoa; phylum Chordata; class Mammalia; order Primates; family Hominidae; genus Homo; species Homo sapiens. The sequence continues at coordinate 35,098,138 of NC_000023.11, read as the reverse complement.
CTTTACACTTTTATTCACAAAGGCATGAATTTACCATACCTGTCTCATTCATATAAGAGTAGTAGTTTTTCAGGTTCTTGCTCCACAGGAGCTGTACAAGAGGAAAGAAAAACGTATTTGGAAAGCCTTGCAGACTCCTCCAATCATCTGCCCCTCATTAAAGACACAGGCTAGAAGTCTCACAATAACAGTAGTAGCAACAGGCTGGTCCCCAGCCAGAGGTCCCAGTGCAACAAGGGTAAATTCAAGTGAAATGAAGATCAGTTGACTTTTAGGTTGCTCAAAGTTCATTTTTTTAAATGCATTTCATGTTGCTGGCAGAATTAATTTCCTCATTAATACATCAGCTGGACAACTGTGGTGACTTTCTTGATTTTAGAGCAATATAACACTTGCAGTTATTAATTTGATATTAGCTTTGAAATAAAATGTGTTTCTGTGTAGAAGTGTGATGGTGTCGCTAACAGAAATGTGGCAACAGCATGAATGAGTTTGTGTTTCTGTGTAGAAATGATGGTGTCACTAACAGAAATGTGGCAACAGCATGAATGAGTAGCTGGATTAACACGCTGTAACATTTTCTAGGTGTAGTTCATGAAAATTTATTAAAAGTCAGGACTCCTTTTTTGGATGGTAAATTTGGCCATGTTTTAATGTGGATTGGAATGGCAGCCATTACCTGAGGATTTTGCTTGAAAACTTAGCATTTTGTTGTAATAAAAAAGAAGTTTAAATTATTAATCCCATAGTTTTTTATCACTAAATATTTTCTGAATTTTAATTTTAATAATTTCAATGTCAAATCTGTGGCTTTAAAGTTTGCTCTTTATTCTCAGTAAATGAAAACGTTAACAATAGTCTTACTTTGGAGCTTCATGAAATTTATCAGGTATCCTTAGAGGCAAATTATTTTTAAATTTTTATTCTAAAATTATTATAGAGTAAAACTGACTTTTTCTACAGTTCTATGAGTTTTAACACATGTATAAATTTGTGTAACTACATCACAATCAGGATAAAAAACAGTCTTATCAAAACAGTGAACTCCTTCCTATTTCTTATGTGAAGTCAAATACTCCCATCCAACCCCTGACCACCACTGATCAGTTATCTAACCTTATAGCTTTGCCTTTTTTCTGAATGCCACATGCTATATAAAGAGAATAGCATAGTATATAACCTTTCGAGACTGGCTTCTTTCACTCGGCACTTCTCTAAGTGCTGTGTGTGACAGTAGTTCTTCTATTTTATTCTTCAATTTTATCCTGTTGTATGGACGCACCACAGTTTGTTTATTCATTCTCCTGTTGATGGACATTTGAATTGTTTCCATTTTCTTTTCTATTACAAATGAGGACATTGCAACAGACAAATCAAATGACCCCTATTTATCCATACCCTTGTACAATCTCCAGGCGTTGAGAGTAAGAGAAACTTGTGAATATGATGGGATATCCTGTGATTAGGTTGTATTAAATAGCACAGTTAAAGAAAGATAGATTATTCTTAGTGGGTATACTAGTCTGCTCAGGCTGCCATAATAGAACATGAGGCTGGGTAGCTTAAACAACAGAATTTTCTTTCTTTTTTTTTTTTCTCACAACTCTGGAGGCAGGAATTCTAAGATCAGGGTGCTGTCAGGGTTAATTTCTGGTGAGGCCTCTCTTCCTGACCAGCAATCTTCTCAGTCCTCATGCCTCCTTTTCCTCTGTGTGCAAATACCTGTGGTATCTCTTCCTCTTTTTATAAGGACACCATCCCTGTTGGATTAGGACTCCACCTTTATGATCTCATGTAACTTTTATTATCTTCTTAAAGGCCTTATCTATAAATATAGTCATATTGGGGGCTGAGGACTTCAACATATAAATTTGGGGGTGGAAGGACAGAATTCAGTTCAAAATAGTGGGTCAGACCTAATCAGTTGAGCCCTTAAAAGAGATATGATCCTTCCTGATAAAGAAAGATTTAAAAAGTGAAAGGGATTTGATGCAAGAGAGAGTCTTCATCACTGGCTCTGAAGATGGAGAGACCATATGGAAAGGAATGTAGGCAGCCTCTAGGAGCTGAGAGTGGCCACCGGCTGACAGTTGGCAAAGAACCAGGGACCCAGTCCTAAACCGCAAGAAACTAAATTCCACCACAACCACATGGACTTATAAGAGAATCCTGAGATCCAGATGAGAACACAGCCTGACTGACACCTGGATTTTAGCCTTGTGTGACCCTGAGCAGAGAACCCATCCATGCTGTGCCTGGGCTCCTGACCTGACCTATAGACAGTGAGCTAATAAGTAGACACTATTTTAAGTTGCGAAGTGTGTGGTATCTTGTTGTAAAGCAACATTTCTTTCTCTTTTGATACAGGATATTACTCTGTCGCCCAAGCTGAAGTGCAGCGGCATGACCATAGCTCATTGCAGTCTCAACCTCCTGGGTTCAAGTCATCCCCGTGCCTCAGCCTCCCAAGTAGCTGGGACTGCAGGTGTGTGCCACCACTCCCAGCTAATCTTTTATTTTTTGTAGAGGTGGAGTCTCACTATATTGTCTAGGCTGATCTCGAATTCCTGGGCTCAAGCAATCCTGCCACCTAGGCCTCCCCAATTCTGGGATTACAGGTGTGAGCCACCTTTCCCAGCCTTAGTAGTTTTGTCTTTATATATAAATTTTCCTATCAGTTTGTGGATATCTTTGTATATTAAAAAAGCTTACTGAGGTTTTCAGTGGGATTGCATTAAATCTTTAGATCACATTGGAAAGAATAGCCATTTTAGCTATATTGAGTCTTCTAATCTATAAACACAAATTTCCTCTAATTATGTTTATCTTCTTTGGTTTCTTTCATTAGTGTTTTTTCAGGTTTTTGTGTAAGTCTTAAACATATTTTATCAGATTTATACCAAAGTGCTTTGATGTTTTGGAGCTATTATAAATATTTCAGATTTCCTAACTTGAAATTCAGATTCTTGATTGCTATTATATAGCAAAGCCATTTACTATCATACATTGACCTTGTTTCTGAGCCCTTGCTCAACTTGCTTATCATTCCAGGAGTTGTGTTATTGTGTTTTGTTTTTAAGATTCTTATATTTTCTGCATAGACAATCATGTCATCTGCAAATAGAGATAATTGTATTTTTCTTTCCAAACTGTACATTAAAAAAATTTTTTTTCTTGTCTTATTGAACTAGCTAGGACATAGAGAGAAATGTTGAATAGGAGCGGTGATTGAGGATATTCTTGTCTTGTTTCAAGTTTGTATTCTTTATTCTTGGATTCCAAATTAAGCCAACATCATTTCTTGAAGAGTCCATTCTTCTCTGTTGATCAACAAATGTCCCTTTTTAAATCATACACCGAATGTCCGTATATGAGTTGGTCTGTTTCTATGTTATCTCTTCTATTCTGTTTGGTTTATTTTTTACCCAACCACCAATTCACATATTCTTGATTACCATAGTTTTAATAGCAACTCTTATTATCTAGTAGGCAATTTCCACATCTTGTTCTTCTCCAGGGGAATCTTGACTGTCCTTAACACTTCTTTTCTCCATAAAAATTTTAGAATCAGCTTTCCATCTTTTATAAAAATAACTGTTGGGGGTTCCACAGGGATTCCATTGACTCTATAAAACAATTTGGGTAGAATTGATATATTGACAATATTGAGCTTTTAATTCACAAAAATGTGTGTCTTATCATTCAATGATTTTCTTAATTTTCTTGACTTAATTCCATAAATTTTCTCTGTAAAGTTCACATAAATATTTGTTAAATTTATTTCCAGATACTTGCTATTTTTAATCTTATTGTAAATGGTATTAAAAATTATATTTAAATTCTTGTTCTTCGTAAATAGATATGCAATTAACTTTGTTATAAGGAATAAATACCTAAAAAATTAACTTTCTTATTATTTCTTATACATTTTACTGCAGATTGTTTTGTATTATCTATATACACAATCATATCATTTGTAAAAATGACAATTGTTTATAATTTCAACATATTTTGTTTTTACTCTTTGTCTTATGGTGGAGGTGAAGACCTGCAAGATAAGGTTGAATAGTTGTGTACAGCATCCTCGCCTCAAATGGAGATCTTTCAAAGTGTCACTCTTTAGCAGGTTAAAACATTTCCTTTCTATTCTTAAGTCATGAAGAAGATTTTTTTCCTTTTTAAATCCTGCCTGTGTGTTCAATTTTATCAAGTGTTTTATTATAAAGATTATATGAATTTTCTCTTAGAATAATGCAATAATTTATAGTAGCTGCCTTTCTAATGGTAAATTAGCTTACTCCAAGAGTATTATTCTTTTTATATCACAGATTTGGTTTGCTATTAATATATCTAAAATTTTTGCATCAATGTTCATGAGTGAGATTGGCCTATAATTTACTATTCTTGTACATTTTCCCCCGGGTCTCTCTATCAGGCATCTGGTAGCATAAAACCAAGTCTGGCACGCTCCTTTTCCCTCTCCTCTGGAAAAGTGTGTGAGAGATTAGAATTACTTGTTTTTAACCCTTGAGACCACTTATTCTGAAGCCATCTTTTGTTCATTCTCCAAGTAGCATTCCTTGCAGTTCCTGAGAGTATGTAGGGTGTGAGAGAACTTTACTGCTAATTTTCCCTCATCCTGAGAAGGTAGCCCATGTGGTAAAACGAGTTATGAGGGAAGAATTCCTATTAGTCTTCAGGCTTGGGCAGGCCTGCACTTGGCACTTTGTACCCTAAACCAGGATTTTGAAAACTTAACGTCAAATTTAGTAAATGCTCTCAGAGTAAAATCAGCTTCCATGCTCAAATTAATTATCTAGTTCCAGTTTACATTTAGATGTAGCCTTATCATTTTTTCCTGTTTTATCAGCTTGTCAGTGTTTTAAGAAAGTTACTTTTTATATTTCATCTGGCACTTTTGGTTGTTTTCAAAAAGTTGCTCAGTCCAAACACCCCGGGAGCCCTGGCACTAAAATCAAAGTTAGATTTGCACTAAATTTCTATGAATTTTAGTTAATGTTTCCTTTCTAGACAAGAATTCATTTTGGCTTGAGAACAATTTCGATTTGCTTCAGTCCCACTTATATGCCAGCCATGATGTTGGAATATGGATGATACAGTGATTAATAAGGTCTTCAGAACTTTACATTTCAACAGATGCAACCAACATCTAGGATTAGCAAGAATCTCAATTCTTTTACATTACTTTTTTAAAAAATAGACCTTTCTGTTTCCATTTATCACATTTATCATTTAATTCTTCATAATTGATTTTCTTTCTTTCTTTCTTTCTTTCTTTTTTTTTTTTTTTGAGAAGGAGTCTCACTGGTTCTCCCTGGCTGCAGCGCAGTGGCGCAATCTCCACTCCCTGCAACCCCCGCCTCCTGGGTTCAAGCCATTCTTCTGACTCAGCCTCCTGAGTAGTTGGGACTACAGGTGTGCGCCACTACTCCCGGCTAATTTTTGTATTTTCAGTAGAGACGGGATTTCACCATATTGGCCAGGCTGGTCCTGAACTCCTGACCTCGTGATCTGCCTGTCTCAGCTTCCCAAAGTGCTAGGATTACAGGCGCACCTGGCCCATAATTGATTTTCTATAGGTAGTTCTAGTATTACCCACTGCTTCTGGGTGCAAGACTAAGATCCAAATTTCTCATTCATAGTAATTAGTCTGCACTGGGTTATTACCACATAAATAAACAGAAGGGTGCATTATAACCACAGAGAAGGCAGGAAGATATGAGAAGAATATTCACAGCATTGTGCAGAACTATCAGAACTATTGCAGTGTTTGGGCTAGTTTGGATTTTGGGTAATGAAGATTTAGGTGGTATAAATGTTTCAGGATGAACTCCATGGTAACATGTGCTTTGAATACTGGTTTGTAGGAAGAAAAAGAAATGGACCCATTGTAATGTACCTTTTTCAAGTTCTGAAACTGCAGGGCAAGTCTACAGAGTTGGGATTTGGGGAAAAGCCAAAAATCACTACTCGTGAAAGGGTCTCTCCATACAGAATAACCAAAGGATTTAAAACATAAACTAGTATGTAACTGAGTGGAGTCCCCATTGGTTGGTGAATTCCTCCTGATGGAACTGAAAGAGTGCAAATCTCTTTAATGGTTCTCAAATTTTGCATCTTCAAACAGGCTAGACTTTATAAAGTTTCCTAGTGCTAAAATAAACTAGTCTCTACTGACTTTAATCAGTCTTTTATAAATTTTAAGTGTAGTGGGATATTTATCTTTCTATATCCTCACAGTTTATGATTGAGCACATTTAAGTAATAAAATTATTAGTCCATAAATATCTATCAACATATCATTTATTCTTTGGAAGCTATTTATACAAAAGGATTTTAAAAACTGATTAAGAATTAGTTATAATTTTTATGGGGTATTTTTCTGATTGTATATAAAATCTTGTATCTATAAAATGTAAAATAATGTTTCTTGTCTATCACCTTTTTGTATTGCCAGGATTGAAAGCACAAACATATTTATCCATTTTTTGTCAAGCTATCCAAAATGAATATCTTAGAATTTTAAATGGGAACTCATTTTGAATGTATTGCTCACATTTGAGCAAATAAACATCTAAGATTTTCAGTCTACTAACCAGATACATAGGTGAGGTAAGCCTGCTTGACATCTGGAAACTTCACACAAAGGAAGCTATTGCTTGGTGTCTAAGGAAATATATTTCTGAAAGCACATTCAGGCTTTTGCACTTACTGAGTGTAGATAAATTGACAGATGGGGAGGGAAGTTGCAAGTACTGTCCATCTAAGAACTGAGTAGCTAAGAAGGGATAGGGGATCATCTTTCTAGCTAAAGAGCACGTTTTCTGTAACCAAATCAATAAATGTACACTAAGACTGATTAAAGCTCACTTCCTAAGTTTTTACTCTGTATTAGGCAAATTATCTATGTTAGCTCTAACCTTTGCCATAACCAGAAAAATTAAGCATTATTATTTCTCTCATTTTACTGATAAACAGAGTCACAAACAGGTTAACAAGCTTGCCCAAGGTTACATAACTGGTAGTGGTAAAACTAGAATCTGAAGCCATTTCTTTCTGAGTCCAAATCTTGAATTCCTTTGACTATACTGTTAGCCTAATGTTTACTGCTGTGGGCAAACAAAATGTGCACAGCTTCACTTGACACCTATTTAAAACTGCATATGTGAGTCACACAAGCAACCCTTTCTAGTATAGTTTCACATAAACTATACTTCCAGTGTTTTTTCTTTCTCTAATATTTATAACTTTCAATGTTGAAAGTAATACTTGAAATTAAGTATACTTTAATTTTATTTTTCACATTAAATACTTAAAAGTCTTAGGTCCTACTTGATGTATCATTCTTTAAATATTTAACTTCTTGCTTTCTGAATAGCCACATTTAGAAATAAGGGTCTCACAAACCTAATGTTGAGAAGAAATTAAAAAAAATTTGACTGAAACTCTGCTGAGACCAGCTCGGTTGTGGAGACCCTAACCCAGCGGTGCTAGAGAAATTAAAGACATACGCACAGAAATATAGGGTGTGGAGTTGGAAATCAGGCCTTTAGAGGTGAGAACCCCAAACAGAGATTTACCCACATATTTATTGACAGCAAGTCAGTGATAAGCATTATTTCCATAGATTATAGATTTACTAAAACTATTCCTTATGGGAAACAAAGGGATGGGCCAAAACAAAGGAAGGGGTGCTGGCTAGTTATCTGCAGCAGGAACATGTCCTTAAGGCACAGATCACCCATGCTATTGTTTGTGGTTCAGGAAAGCCTTTAAGCAGTTTTCCGCCCTGGGTGGGCCAGGTGTTCCTTGCCCTCATTCCGGTAAACCCACAACCTTCCAGCGTGGGCGTCATGGCCATCACGAACCTGTCACAGTGCTGCAGAGATTTTGTTTGTGGCCAGTTTTGGGGCCAGTTTATGGCCAGATTTGGGGACTTACCCCCAGCAAAACTTCTTTTCCCTGTAGGCATTTTATAAAAAGGTATAAATAACAGATACTTCATTTTTGTTCTACAGAAGGAAAGAAAATGAGAAACAAAAGTATTCTGAAGAAAAAGGTCATAGGAAAGTGAGGATAAAGATACCAAGACAAAATATAATGACTTCCCCTTTGGACCTCAGTGCTTGTACATGGAGAAGATAATTTTGACTTGAGTTTTCTGTTTATTTGAAAAACCTTTTATTGTAATTTTCACCAGTAAGGGAGATATTTCTGGACTATGAATTGTAAATAGACTTTGTTAAATAAGACAGTAGACTTAATTAAGTTAGATCATGTATAAAATATTTATGCTACATATTAAGTGTCCAGTTAATAAACATCAATTTATTGTCTCTCTCTCTCTCTCTGCCCCTTCTCTATGCCTTTATTCTTTACAATTATTTTATTTTCTCTGAAAGTTCTGATCTTGTACAGAAAGTACTGTTTGGGTCTTTAGTTAAATTTGTGTTTACATCCTGATAAAAAAAATTGTGTTTATATCCTGATATTATGAAATTATGTTTATATCCTGATATTATGAAAGACAAAATATCTAAACTGTGTAAGCCTCAGTTTTTTCATCTTAAAAAAATGAATTCATAGTACTTTTATGAGGCTTTCATATTGTGCTGTACATAGGAAAAATACTTTTTAAATGTCTGCGACTTGATTACAATTATTCAATGGCACATTCGTCAATAAGAAAATAAACTTCTAAACAATTAATTTACATTAAATCATTTATTTTGGTTTCAATCAAGGAAAGATTTCTTGCAACCTCATGAAAGACCTTGACCAGCCATGACTACCCATCTAACATGCTGTCTAATTCCTGACCTATGGACACTGTGAGATAATAAATGTTTGTTGCTTTAAATCACTAAATTTTGGAGTAATTTGTTGCATAGCAATAGATAATGAATAAAAATCTCTTGAGGGATATGCCTAACATTTCAAATATAATTGCCTACAATTTGTGGATGTCTTTAACATTATCTGTAAAAGAAAAAAATTCCTAAGCAATTAATGAAGTGTTGTAGGTATGGGTAATGGGAAGAGAATTTGAGAATATAAACAAACTGTCTTCAAGGATATGGATTAATCACTCTCTGCTATTGTTTGTGTGTTTTATTTCAATAGGATTTCAAAGAGAGGCTGTTTGCTTGACTGAAGGAAGTGCCTTTTGACAGAAGATGCAATTTATGTTATATGAATGATATTTCTGATGGCCAAAAGGACCTGTGATAGCCTGAGAGTCAAAGACAAGCAGGAACGCATCTGTAGTCAAACAAGGTCAGGTTTATTTAGTGGACTGCATCAAATAAGAACACCCCCAAATAGGAACTTGGGGCACCTCAGTAATGGAGATTTCACAGGAGTTGTTTATATGTTTGTGCTTGTGCTTGATATTCCCAAGGCAGATATGGAATGAATCCTGGCTTGGATTGGTTCTTGTCAACAAGGAGGAGCAGGTTAGCAATCAGATTCTCGGTATTCATTGTTCAGGTGGTGCTGTATGTCCCCTCCAAAAGCATGTTGAAATTTAATTGCCAATATAATTGTATTGTGAGGTAGGACCTTTAAGAGGGGTTTGGCTCATTGAAGCTCCACCCTCATGAATAGATTAATGTCATTATCGTGGGAGTGGGATTGTTATCATGGGAATGGGCTCCTGATAAAAGAGTGGTTTCTGCCTGATCTCCTCTTTCCCTCTCTCGCATGCTCACTTGCCCTTCCACCATATTATGATGCAGCAGGAGGGCCCTCACCAGATGCTGATAACATTTTTTTAACTTCTCAGCCCTCAAAACTGTGAAGAATAATTTCTTTCTTTTATACATCACCTAGTCTGTGCTATTCTGTTATAGCAGAAGACAATAAACTAAGACAGACATCGGGAAAACAACACGGGCTTGGGGACATCATTTATAAGAAAGTGATAATCACTCAGAGAAAAAAATGATTAGTCATATTTTCAGCTATAGTGTGGCCTTTTGTATAAGCACTGTATACAAAAATGCTATATCCCATTGGAAGCATTTTTTTTTTTTTTTGAGAAGGAGTCTCACTCTGTAACTCAGGCTAGAGTGCAGTGGCACGATCTCGGCTCACTGCAACCTCCTCCTCCTGGGGTCAAGCGATTCTCCTGCCTCAGCCTCCCGAGTAGCTGGGACTACAGGTGTGCACCACCGGGCCCAGGTAATTTTTTTGTATTTTTGGTAGAGACAGGATTTTACCATGTTGGCCAGGCTGGTCTCGAACTCCTGACCTTTTCACTTTCTCAAAAAGAATATTGTGACACAACCATGAAGTGAAGAGTTCTAAGATCCAACATAGTCTCACTGAGTTGATGCATGTTTTTACCTGACTTCTGATCATTTTATAAACAATTAAAATAGTACAGCGGGACAGGACCTTAGAAATTGTCATTATATGTATGGAGAGCCTGGAGCACATTCCCAGGGTCTGCCAAGCAGTTTGTGCCAAAAGAAGGATTAGGACCCAGATCTCTGACAATTAGACAAGGATCCTTCACAGGACATCTATTTTCATCCTGGTACACACACACACACCTGTACCAATTTCAGGGGTAAAGTATTTTGCAAGTGATTTACTACTAATAAGAGTGAAAATACTGGAGTGATTCTCTATTACTGTTTTCTCACTGTAAAAATTTCAAGCATACAATCATAATAAAGTTATCTCTTTACTTCAATCTCCTTTCTCATCTCCATATGGATAAATATGTGTATCTGACTATTATATTAAAGTAATGATATAGTAGTACATATTGTTTTGCTGTTGGCTTTTCCCAATTAATAACACACTTTGGATACTGTTCTGTGTCAGTGTCAATAAAATCTGTAAACATAGATAACATTATTTTATTATTTTACAAGGTGAAGATGTCCTTAATGATATTCAATATACTTTTCTACATTTACAGACTATGTACATTTTGTAGATAGAACTTTTTTATTAAAATTAACGTTATTAACCATTTATTTAAAATACTCACAAATATTTTTATTCAAAAATTATCTTGAGTAGTAAGGTTATTGAGATGCACAATAAATGAGCTACGTACTGCTTATGAGAGATGGTAGGCCATTCTTTCTGTGGATCATAAGAAATATTTTAAATAAATAAATAGTTTGAATACTGCTATACTGTATCTTTCTATAACATATAAACATATCTTTGCATTTTCAGTTTTTGATCATCAAGGTACAATTCACAAAATCCTGCTGATCATAAATATAATGATGAAATAGCAAGTAGCAGATTGGGAAAGACACAAAACATGATATTCTTATCTTGATTTCCAACGGCCTGAATGCTCCAATATTAAACACAAGGCCAGTGAGACATTTTTCATTTGCCCCTTGAGAGCCTATTATATCATCATTATGTTGTTTTTGGATAAAGCAGTTTCTTAAACTAATCCATTTGTCATGGAATCATTTTATAGACCTTTAGGCTTATGCATTCTTTTTTGAACTTGGAGACAAGAGTAAAGCCAGCCTGTAGAACCAAGCTTCTACCTGTGAAATTCAGTTTCTATGTCTTCATTTCATTTTCTTTATTCACCTTCATATACTTTTTTTTATTAACCCCAAATAATTTGTCCTTCCTTATGCTTCCCTATTTCTTATAAAATGAGGGTTTTGTAGAAATAGATTATTTATACAGTATGTAGAATTAATTCCATTATGGGATGTCAATAATTTTTCTTTATTTCCTCCCATATTTGGCTCTAAATTATGCTTCATTACAAAGAAAATGAGTTTTAAAATGGGTAAAATACAGAACTAGACAGGATAGCATTTCATCATTTAATTTAGGGTGTTTTAATGGCACATTAAACACATGTGATTCATGAGGATTATGATATACGATAAGTAACAAAATGCATTAGGAACTTTTTTGGTAAATATAGCAAAAGGACTCCTAACAAGAACGACTTTTAATGTGTTCACCGTTCCATAAAACCTTTACATGGCAACTGTCACTGGAAACCTCCTCTATTAAGAACAGTAAATTAGAATATTAAATTAGTTTCTCTGAGTTACTGAGATTAAGAAGTCAAAAAGTGCACAATCTTCATATGGCGTTTTAATTAAACTGCCTATGATTATTGTGTGTTATAAGATGGTAATGTGCTGTGGTTTGAATATTTTCCTGAAAATGTATGTGTTGGAAACTTAATTCCCAATGCAACAGTGTTAGGAGGTAGAATTTAATGGGAAGTGTTTAGGTCATGACAGTTCTACCCTCATGAATGGATTAATGCTGATTACAAACAGGCTTGAGGCTGTGAGTTTAGTCTCTTGATCTCTGTCCCTCTCTTGACCTGTTGCCTTCTGACACAGCAAGAAGACCCTCACCAGATGGAGGCTCCTCAATCTTAGGCATTCTAGTCTTCAGAATTGTGAAAAATAAATTTCTCTTCACTACAAATTATGTAGTTTGTGTTATTCTGTTATAGCAGTGCAAAGTGGACTAAGACAGCACGTCAGCACATTACATGTGGTGTTTAATTTGCCCATGCCACTTCATGTTACAAAATAACATTTTATTTACTTTTATTATGTAATCTCTGTCCTCTGCTCCACATTTTTTTCTTTCTTTTATTTTTATTTTTATTTTTTGAGACAGAGTGTCACTCTGTCGCCCAGGCTGGAGTGCAGTGGTGCGATCTCGGCTCACTGCAAGCTCCACCTCCTGGGTTCACGCCATTCTCCTGCCTCAGCCTCCCGAGTAGCTGGGACTGCAGGTGCCCACCACCACACCCGGCTAATTTTTTGTATTTTTTTTTTTAGTAGAGACAGGGTTTCACCATGTTGGCCAGGATGGTCTCGATCTCCTGACCTCATAATCTGCCCACCTCGGCCTCCCAAAGTGCTGGGATTACAGGTGTGAGCCACCACGCCCTGCCTGCTCCACATTTTCTAAAAACTATTTTCTAGAGCAGTAAGCAGGTCATTGAATGTTAAGTTACGAAATTTGCATGTCCATTCAAAGATACTCTACCTTAACTGACCATCACCTGCTTATAAACAAACCAATAAGTAACTGGTTAGTACTAAGTTATCTCACTAAGCTGACTTGTTTCTTATAGAATTAAAATACGTTAATTGACATAATTGTAGACTGAACTAGAATTAATAGTTCATTGAATCTTAGAGGAAGATAAAATCTTATATCAGGTATTCTCAACTTCAGCACTACTGATATTTTGGGGTTGGATTTTTTGTTGTGGTTGTGACGGGCTGTCCTGGGCACTGTAGGCTGATTAGAATCCTCCCTGGCTTTTACCCACTAGAAGTACCAGTAGCACTTCTCCTCAGCTGTGACAACCTGAAATGTCTTCAGCTATTACCAAATGTCTTCTGGGGGACAAAATACCCCCAGTTAAAACCTACTGCCTTAGAGAATATCTGACTCAATACATTCATTTATCAAAGGAGAAAACTGAAAGCCAGGTAGATAAAATTACCAGGTAAAAATCACTATAATAATTATATAAACATTATCTGAATTGAATAATCACTTTACTATGTCAAATTCCACATTCATAATAAATTTAATAAAGCTCATATAATGAGCACATCCACATAATTTGGGGGTGTATATCTAGATTGTGAATTTGAAGTAAATATATCTTACAGCTTAGTAAGTGATGTTTTCCCAGATAAGCCAAGGTTTCAGATGCAAGTGTTTTAGTAAGAATTTGCTCCCTAGAGAAATTATCAAGGGATTGAAGGATTGATGATAGAAAAGGGGAAGAAACTAGGTAACTGTATAATTTCAGGTGAGGTCTCAGACTCAACACTATCCCTCAGGGAGCTCAAGATCATAAATTACTCATCAGGCTGGGCGCGGTGGCTTATGCCTGTAATCCTAGCACTTTGGGAGGCCGAGGCGGGTGGATCACTTGAAGTCAGGAGTTTGAGACCAGCCTGGCCAACATGGTGAAACCCCGTCTCTACTTAAAATACAAAATTAGCCAGGGGTGGTGGTGTGCGCCTGTAATTCCAGTTACTCCAGAGGCTGAGGCAGGAGAATTGCTTCAACCAAGGAGGCAGAGGCTGCAGTGAGCCAAGATCGCACCACTGCACTCCAGCCTGGGTGACAGAGCGAGACTCCATTTCAAAAAAAAAAAAAGTACTCATTAAAAGTATTTTGGCTTTCAGGCTTCTATAATGTCAAATCATTCAGTCACTGGCTATGGACTACTATGGGATTGGATGTGGTAATAGAAAATTCCTAGGCACTTCCAGTTTTCTGTACTGAAAGGAGACAATGGATTACCTGGAGACTTGGAGGGAAGTGTACCAAATTACTAAACATTTCTATCTCTGTGGGCAAGAAGATTCCAGTGCCCAAAGGGAATCCTCTGAGGGTTAAATGTATGACGCCTCAGCAGCAAAGCATGCAGAAACTTGGAAAGGGACACACAAAGCTGGTAAGAGGTATATGAGGGTTATTGGGCAGGTCACTGACAGTGTCTACTTCACTGGCCTTGTGAAAAAAGCAGGGACTTTTGAGACAGACATATATATTCAAGTTCTGGCCTTGCTGCTTAACGATATGCTTTTAGGCAAGTTACTTGAATTTTTGACCCATAGTTTCTATATCTTCAAACTTAAGGCAAAGATACCTAACCAATTTCATCCAACTTTGTAAGAATTAAGTTATTTAACAAACACAATATGGAGACCATATAACGAGGTATTGTTATTGTGCATTTCAATTCATGAAAACTTATATCTTCCTATTTGTTTAGGTTTTCTAAAATGTCCCTCATAAAGGATACAAAATTTCTCTGTAAAAGTTTTGAACATTTTGCATTAGATATTTTCCAAGTACTTGACATTTTTACTCCCATGGCAGATGATACTTCTTAATTTTATATTTAAGCTTCTTTCCTGATATGTAGACATAATTAATTTTGTTTTATTAATTAGTATCTGGAAAACTAATTGTTTTTCATCTATTTCCTCAGATTATTTTAGATTATCCATGTGTACAATTATATCATTTGTGAATAATAACAATTTTGTTTCATCCTGTACAAGTTCAATATATTTTGTTTATGGTATTTGCCTTACGGTGGCAGTAAGGACCTGCAGTACAATGTTGAATGACCATAAAAAACATCATTGGTTCAATTGATATCTTTTAAAATTTTAACATTGACTAATAATCTCTAGCAGGTTGAAGAACTTTCTATTACTAGATTGTTAAAAAGTTTGTCGTTTTTTTCAATGCTTAATGTATGTTCAATTTTACAAAGGCTTTCTTTCATATAATTACGTGAATTTTTTCTCTTATGGTAATGCAATAATTTATATTAGCTGACTTTCTAATGATAAATTAGATTGTTCTAAGTGTGTTTGTGTATCTGCAATATATATAAATATATTGCAGATTCTCTTTACTATTATTATGTGTCCAGGGTTTTTACATCTATGTTCATGAGTGATAAATTGGCTTATAAATTGCTCTTTTTGTGCTTTTATCCTCGAGTTTCTTTATCAGGATGCTTGTAGCATAAAACTGAATCAGGAAGTTTTTTTTTTAAATTTTATCCTCTGGAAAAGTGTGTGTGAGATTATAATCACTTTTTCTTGTACATTTGAGACCACTTTTTATGAAGCCATCTTTGTTCATCATCCAGGCTGCATTTCCTGAGAAGAGTGTGAGGCAGCTTTGCCTTTCATTCTCCCTCAGCTAGGGCTACAAAAAATAGCAAATGAAAATGCAAGGTGCCTAGTTAAATTTGAATTATTTCCCATTGTCTCTATTAGTTTGCTAGGGCTCCCATAACAAAGTATCACAGACTGGGTGTCTTTAATATCATAAATTAATTTTCTTACAATTCTGGAGGCTAGCAGTCCAAGATCAAGGAGTCAACAAGGTTGATTACTTCTGAGGCCTCTCTCCTTGGCTGGTAGATGCCATCTTCTCCCTGTGTCTTTACTCTTGTGTAGATGTCTTAATCTCCTTTTATTATTAGTATTCTGGTCATAAAAGATCGGGGCCCAACCTAATGACCTTATTTTAATTTAATTACCTCTTTAGGAAATTAAGACCGTATCTCCAAATAAGTAACAATATGAGGTACTGGGGGTTAGAACTTTAACATGAATTTTTGAGAAAGATATTTCAGCCCATAACATTGTCTGTGCATATTCACATCAAGATAAAGGAAAAATGTATGTGATATTCTTATACTAAAACATTATTTGATGTTTATCTAAAATAAATTATAAATTTCTAAACTATCTACCTTTCTCTTTAATTATATTTTCTTCAGGATTTACCTCTCTTTAACACTTTCTTGTTTTGCAGAATTTGCTTATAACATTTCTTGCAGTTAGTCTTTGTTCCATTTACATTGTATAGTAGCTTCTACAGAGGTCCCTTCCAACTTATTTCACTATTTTGCCCTTTGAAGATTCATTAATGAGAAAATATGCTCAACATTAGCATTATGAGCTGGTATACTGAATATGTACTGGCCCAAAGTTAACAGTTCTAAGAACTGTTCTTCAAATTTGCTTTGATGAAGCAAATAATTCTTTCATGGCACAGCTTACTTTTCCATTCTTCAGAATTGTGTTGTATCTCTTAACTTTTAAAAAAAATGTTCTCTATCAAAAGAAAACATGGTTATCAATTGTTATCCCCGTCTTCTTGGTCCCATGCTGCAAGAATACTTAGTGACATACATGTTACTAAATGAAATTCTTAAAGTGGTGAAATCCAATTAAAATGATAGGCTTGACAAATGCCATAATAATTATCAACTTCAGGTCAAAATTTCTTTTTTTATTCACAAGTAATGTTGTCCATTTGAAAAAACAGCCTTGATACTTAAAGCAATTCATTTTTCATCAATTCTTTAACACATTCAACAAGTTCTCTTAATCAATGGACTACATCAATAATACTTTTTTTTCATTGCATATAATGTTATTGCTAGAGAGATACTGAAAATGATGAAGAATAAATAAGTAGGCTTTGCTCAGCAGCTAATCTTAAAAGCCGACACGAATTTTGAGGGCCTTTTCTTTAGAATCAAAATATGGTTAATATGGCATCAGAGCTTCAAATAAATTAAATATTCTCTCAAATGCATTTGTACAAGAAAGTCAATGGATTTTTTAATAGGAATTGAAAAAGTTTGCATTCTAACAAAATCACAAAAATCCTATAATCTCTCAGGTTAAAAAATGTAAGGACTGAAGTAAGAGAGCTGTTTTATGACTATTACTTCAATACCAATATATAGGACATCAGATGCTCTTTGAGAGGCATTAAGCAGAATATGGGCAACACAGCCAACATTCATCAAAGAATCATGCATGCTTTGCTTCAACTTTAACCATGTTATCATTAACACTTAGCTTTTTAGATAGGGCTGGAAATTAGCTATTGTTTCTAAAATAGCATCTGTCAAAAACTTTACTCACAGCAGCCTGATGAGAAAGTATTTTTTATGAAAAAACAATTTCACAGAGGAAAAATGTATTCTGTAATGTCATTATATGCATCTGTGGCCATGGTATAAAAAGGTGAGGCATTTAGATGTTTGATAATTGTTGTAACAGTAAATAAAACTATTATTTTTTGTCATTATTATTATTGCAGTAGATTTGGTCTTGGCACTTGAAAATTTGCTTCCAGTTTGAGTTGAAAGACTGATGGTTATATACAGTGTGAAAAGTCATTACAACTTCTATTGTGATAGTCTTCTTAATTTAAATGTGTTATTTTATCATTGTGTTATTTAAAAATTTGCTATTTTATCATTGTCTTTGGAACTAGCTGAGGAATTCATGCACAGCTGATAATATATGATTGTTTGAATTTCCACAATTTTCTGTATTGAATGAACAATTGGGTATTGCACAAAAAGCTTTTAAAGGACTTTTTCCTTATTTAATAGATGTCAACTTTTCATAAATTTCATCATTTTTGCACTTGTGTTTGGGCATCGCAAGGTTCAAATAGACATGAAATAAAGAGAGATGATACCAAAAATTGCAAGAATGAAAGACTGAATTTGAAAATCTCACAGCCAGGCCAGGTGCAGTGGCTCACGCCTGTAGTCCCCAACACTTTGGGAGGCCGAGGCAGGCAGATCACTTGAGGCCAGGAGTTCAAGACCAGCCTGGTCAACATGGTGAAACATGTTGTCTCTACTAAAAATACAAAAATTAGCTGGGAGCGGTGGTGCACATCTGTAATCCCAGCTACTTGGGAGGCTGAGGCACGAGAATCGCTTGAACCTAGGAGGTGGAGGTTGCAGTGAGCTGAGATGGCGCCACTGCACTCCAGCTTGGGTGACAGAGCATGACTCTGTCTCAAAATAAATAAATAAATAAATATCTCACAGCTGGCCAGTGTGTCTGTCACTCACAAGTCTGAACAAGTTTGTAAATAGGGATTGACTGGTGGAAAGGCTGTAAGCTTAACTAACGAATTGAATATCTGATGCAATAAAAGGTGAACTACCCTTTTTCCCGTAGAGAGAACTGAACTTGTTAGGCACGGACTTCATAAACAAAGCCAGAGCTAATCCTATATAAGGTTTTGGTTAGTCTGGGGTGTCAGGGGTTGGCAGACGTACAGAAGTGGTAGTGTTTAGGGACTGACGGACTTTCAGCTGTGTTTCCATGGTCACTAGACTAAGGCTGCTGTGTTCTGGTGGACTTTCAGAAGCAAAGCCAGTGAACAGATAGACTTTCTGACTGCTTCTGTCAAGAAGTGAGCAGCTGTCACTGATTGGCTACCTTTTGGGACCAGAGCTTTGTCAGTGATTGGCTGCTTTTCAGAAGTCTTGGGGCAGTCACTGATCTGCTCACTTTCAGAAACTTAGTTACTGGAGTGAGGCTGTCATTGACAGGCTCATGATACTGATTAGTAATTTCATTTAATGGTGGTTACTTGTTCGTGACTTGGGACTTTGGCAAAGAACAGACGTTTCCTTCCATCAATATTTCCTTTAATTCTAAGTCACTGATTCTGATTTTCCTTCAACTAAACCTGAATGAGAACCCAGATCTTTATTTGTCGAGGTATAATTTCAGCTAATGTTGTCTTAAGTAATTTAATTGCTGATTACTGTGGTGAAAAAGTAACTCTAAGTGTTGAATGTTTGCAACTTGTTAAATTAAAAAAGCCAAATACAGGACATTTGGGGTTTCCTGATAAAGTCAACACAAGATGCATGACAAAATCATATAGAGTACATATCCTGTGTATTCAGGATATCTAGCAACTCTAGATGAAGTCCGTGTCTGAGGAAGTGTCTTTTAGCACTGAACTTTCCCAGTAGTGCTTAGGATACTCCCTCGATTTCTGTGAGTAACAGGGCCCACTGACCTGAGGGGGAAGAAGGGGAAATGAGTGGAAAGGACTCTGGGCTTGCAGTCCCTGCTTCACTGAGTGCTCAGACTTCTTCATGCTTATAAATTAGATTTGTAAGGAAGGCTTCAATTGGGATAAACGGTCTCATGTCTAAATATTTGGCAATCATTGTCTCTTAGTTAGACACAAAATGCATCATGGAGGTCCAGCCTCCAGGGCCCATGATTTCTTCCAGTCCCTTGCTCTGTATATCATGAGAAACTCGAGTTACTCTGGAGTTACTGTGGAGTTACCAGCTTCTTAGAACAAACATAGTAGTTAGAACAGATAAGAGTCTGGGTATTGGGGTAAACTCAAGTTTACACAAAAGTGATGAAGAGTGGAATCCTAAAAGAGATGTATGATAGCAGATGTGAGATTGAAAAGTTAGGATATATAACTTTATATATGTCACAAATACACAAGTATAGGTAATACATAAGCAAAGGTATAAATATATGCTTTAAAAAGAGAGTTTAAGGCAACACAAAATTTTTTTCTGATTGGAGAATTTCTGGGTGATTACTTCATTTATTCCTTTAATCTCTTCCCTGGATTTATTAGACTTTGTGTAATTTGAGTTTCCAGTGGTATTTGCAGGAGAGTAGACAAATTATATGCCAGCATATGCATAACACTTGATTTCACCTAACTTATGGCCTCACAGGACCTTTCCTGACTTAGCAAATCCTCATCTCCAGCCCAGGCCCCTTTCCTGATAGCAAAATTCACATTTTCTATTTCCCACTGAACATCTTCACCTAGACAGCCAGTACAATCTTGCCATCTATGTGGCCCACACTGATCTCATCTGCCACACACTTCCTTACTTCTGGAGAGTTGAATTAATTGCCACCAACTCTTCCTTTTCTTTTATCCTCAATCTCAGCTAAGAGGAATGGCTTCTACCTAGCCATCCAACCTCAGGACTTAGTCATTATAGACTCTCCCTTACCCTCTCACATAGTCAATAACTTTCAAAAACTCAAACCTGTCTCCCCTTCCTCATCATCATACCCACAGCCTAAATCAAGTGGCTTGGTACTTCCTTTTATTTTGTTTACTTAGGGTTTCTCTTAGTATATGTTCAATAAATTTTGGAAGAATGAATGAATGAGCCAACATATGAAATGTGACAGGAGAGCAAGATGGTGGAAAAGAAGGCTGCACCGATCTTCCCCCACACAAAGACATAAATTTAACAACTATCTATACAAGAAAAACATGTTCATAAGAACTAAAAATCAAGTGATTTTAATTTAATATCACTGAACGAAGCACTGAAAAGGCAAGAAAAACAGCCTTGAATCACCAGTGCTACCCCTTTCCCATCTCCCAGCAGAGGCAGCGTGGTGCAGATGGCATCTCTGGCTGTTAGGGGAGAAAGATCACAGCAGTTGTGAAGCATTGATCACAGTGCTGTCTAGTTATAAAAGACATGAAAATTGGACCAAACTCAGTTGATGCTTGTCCATGAAGGAAGCATTTAAGTCAGTCCTAGCAAGAGGGGAATTGTGATTTTAGTGGTCCAAACTTGAGTTCCCACAAACCTCATCACCACAGTCTAAAGTGCCCTGGGGCCCTAATAAGCTGTAAAGACTACAAGTACTCCAACTTTTAGGTGGATCCTTGTGCTGAACTGGGCCCGGAACTAAGGACACAGATGGTTGGGTCGGGGGGCACATGGCCTACTGAGACATCAGCCAGGGTGGCTAAGGGAGTTCTGACATCATTCCTTCCCCAACTCCAGGCTGAAAAAGTTGTGACTCCAAAAGAGACCCCTTCTTTCCATTTGAGAAGTGGAGGGGAGAGACTAGGGAAGACTTTGTCTTGCATCTTGGATACCAGCTCAGCTGCAGCAGAATAGGAGACAAGTCAGAGTCACGAGGCCCTCTTAATAAGCCCTAGCTCCTGGATGACATTCCTGGATATGCTCCGAGCCAGAAGGTAACCTGCTGCCTTGAAGGGAAGAACCCATTCCTGGCAAGATTTGTCAATTGCTAACTGAAGAGACCTTGTGCCTTGAATAACCAGCAGTGATACCAAGGTACTACACAGAGGGCCTTGGGTGAGATCATGAGACTTGCTGGCCTCAGGTGAGACTAAGCACATTCCCAGCTGTGGTGGCTATTTGGCAAGGCTCCTTCTGCTTGAGAAAAGAGGAAAAAGTAAAGGTGACTTTGTCTTGTACTTTAGGTACCAGCTTGGCTACAACAGGATAGAGTACCAAGTGGGGTCTTGAGGTCCCCGATTCCAGAACTTGGCTCTTGGGTGGCATTTCTGGACCTGCCTTGAGCCAGAGGGGAGCCCACTGCCCTGACGGGTGAATCTCAGTCTAGGCAGCATTCACTGCAAGTTGACTCAAGAGCCCTTGGAACTTAAGGGAACATTGGCAGTAGGCTGGTAGTACTTCTTGTGGCCAGTGGTGGCAGTTGACATAGGGTGAGGCTCCTCTGCCTTTTGAAAAGGGAGGGAAAAGTGGGAAGGACTGTGTCTTGTGGTCTGAATGTCAGTTCAGCTGCAGTACAATAGAACAGCAAGTAGATTACTCAGATTTTTGACTCTAGTTCCTGGCTCCTGGATGGAACCTTTAGACCCACCTGGGCATGAGGGAACTTGCCACCCTGAAGGGAAGAACACAGGCCTGCCTGGCTTTGCCACTGGCTGATTGTAGTTCTCCAGGGCCCTAAGTGAACATAGGCAGTAGCCATGGAATGGTTACACCAGGCCTTGGGTGACCCAGTGCTGTGCTGGTTTCAGGGCTGACCCAGCATAGTCATAGTGGCGGTTGACACAGGAGTGCTTATGTTACACAACCCATAGCTTCAGGTAGCTCTGAACAGAGAGAGAGACTCTGTTTGGGAGAAAGTAAGGGAACAGAACACAACCACCCCCAGCTTCAGGTGGTTCTGAACAGAGAGAGACTCGGTTTGGGAGAAAGTAAGGGAAAAGAACAAAACTCATTCCCCGGTAATACAGAGAATTCTCCTGGATCATCTCCAAGGCCGTCAAGGTGATGTCTATACAAGTCTGCAAAAACCACTGCATTACTGGACTTGAGGTGCCCCCTAAAACAGATATAGCTTAGATTACAACACCCAAGTCCTTTTGAATATGTAGAAAGTCTTCTCAAAAAGGACACATACAAACCAGCCCATGCAGTGATGACTACTATAAATACCTAACTTTTCAGTGCCAAGATACTGATGAATATTTACAAGTATCAAGACATTCCAGGAAAACATGACCTTATCAAATGAACTAAATAATGCACCAAGGACCAGTTTTGGAGAAATAGAGATGTATGACTTTTCAGACAGAAAATTCAAAATAGCCGTGCCACGAAAACTCAAAGAAATTCAAGATAAAACAGAAGGAATTCAGAATCATATTAGATATATTTAACAGAGACTGAAATAATTAAAAATAATCAAGCAGAAATTCTAGAACTGAAAAATGCAATTGGCATACTGAAGACTGCATCAGAGACTTTGAATAGCATAATTGATCAAGCGGAAGAAATAATTAGTGAGCTTGAACACGGGCTATTTGAAAATATACACTCAGAGGAGACAAAAGAAAAAAAATTAAGCAGACATACAAAATCTAGGCCTCAAAACCTCAAATAACCTCAAATGGCAAATCTAAGGGTTATTGGCCTTAAAGAGAAGGTAGAGAAAGAAGTGGGGGTAGAAGGTTTATTAAAAGAGATAGTAACAGAGAACTTCCCAAAGCTAGAGAAAAATATCAATATTGAAGTACAAGAAAGTTACAGGACACGCAGCAGATTTAACCCAAAGAAGACTACCTCAAGGCATTTAATAAGCAAACTCCCCAAAATGAAGATTAAGATAGGATCCTAAAAGTAACAAGATAAAACAAATAACACACAATGAAACTCCAATATGTCTGGCAGCTGACTTTTCAGTAGAAACCTTACAGGCCAGGAGAGAGTGACATGACATGTTGAAAGTGCTGAAGGAAAATAACTTTAACCCTAGAAGAGTATATCCAGAAAAATGGTCCTTCAAAAATGAAGGAGAAATAAAGACTTTCCCAGACAAACAAAAGCTGAGGGATTTCATCAACAGTAGACCTGTCCTACAAGAAATGCTGAAGAGAGTATGTGAATCAGAAAGAAGATGATGTTAATGAGTAATAAGTAATCATCTGAAGGTACAAAACTCACCGGTAATAGTAAGTACACAGAAAAACACAGATTACTGTAACACTTTACTTTGGTGTATAAACTACTCTTATCCTAAGTAGAAAGACTAAATAATGAACTAATCAAAAATAATAACTACAACAACTTTTCAAGACATAGTATAATAAAATATAAATAAAGACAGCCAAAAGGCAAAAAAAAAAAAAACAGAGGAAAAAGTTAAGGTATAGCATTGTTATTAGTTTTTTTTTTTTTAATCATTGCATGCTTGTTTGTTTACGCAAACAGAATTGTTACCAATGTAAAATACTGGGTTGTAAGATAGTATTTGCAAGCCTCATGGTAACCTAAAACCAAAAAACATGCAACAGAGAAAATCACCTGCACTAAAGGAAGAGAGAAAAGAAAGAATGAACAAAACAACCAGTTAACCAAAAAAAAAAAAAAAAAAAAAAAAATGACAGGAGTAAGTTCTTACTTACCAATAATAATGTTGAATGCAAGTGGACTAAACTGTCCAATCAAAAGACATACAGTGGCTAAATGGGTAAAGAATTCAGACCCTTTCATCTGTTGCCTATGAGAAAGACACTTCATGTATAAAGACACACATAGACTAAAAATAAAGGGATGGAAAAATATACTCCATGCCAATGGAAACTAAAAATTAGCAGGAGTAGATACCTACATAAGACAAAACAGATTTTATGAAAAATCTATAAGAGACAAAGAAAGTCACTACATAATGAAAAAGGGGTCAATTCAGCAAAAGGATATAACAATTTTAAAAATATATGCACCCAACACTGAAGCATTCAGATATATAAAGCAAATATTATTAGAACTAAAGAGAGAGATAGGCCTCAATACAATAATAGCTGGGGACTCTTAACACCTCACTTTCAGCATTGATCAGAGTTTTCAGACAGAAAGTCAACAAAAAAATCTTTGGACTTAATCTGCCCTGTAGACCAAACGGATCTAAGATATTCGTAGAACATTTTATCCAATAGCTACAGAATACACATTTTTTTAAATTTTTTTATTTTAATTTTTTTTTTTTTTTGAGACGGAGTCTCGCTCTGTCGCCCAGCCTGGAGTGCAGTGGCACTATCTTGGCTCACTGCAAACTCTGCCTCCCAGGGTCACAACATTCTCCCGCCTCAGTCTCCCAAGTAGCTGGGACTACAGATGCCCGCCACCACGCCTGGCAAATTTTTTGTATTTTTTTAGTAGAGACGGGATTTCACCGTGTCAGCCAGGATGGTCTCCATCTCCTGACCTCATGATCCACCCGCCTTAGCCTCCCGAAGTGCTGGGATTACAGGCGTAAGCCACCGAGCCCGGCCCAGAATACACATTCTTTTACTCAACACATGGATCATTCTCAAGGATAGGCAACCATATGTTATGTCAGAAAAAAGTATTAAAATATTCAAAAGTAATTGAAATAATATCAAGCATCTTCTCTGACCACAGTGGAATAAAGCTATAAATCAATAACAAAAGAAATTTTGGAAACTATACAAATACAGAAAAAATGAACAATATACTCCTAAATGACCAGTTGGTCAATAACAATATTAAGAAGGAAAATGAAAAATTTCTTAAAAGGAATGATAATGTAAACACAATATTTCAAAACCTATGGGATACAGCAAAAGCAGTACTAAGCGGGAAGTTTATAGGTATAACTGCCTACATCATAAAAAGAGAAATTTAAATAAACGATCTAATTGTATGTTAAAGAACTAGAAAAGCAAGAGCAAACAAAACCAAAAATTTGTAAAAGAAAAGATGTAATAAAGAACGAAGCTGAAATAAATGAATTTGAAATTTAAAAAGCAATACAAAAGCCCATTTAAACAAAAAGTTGGTTTCTGAAAAGTTAAACAAATTTGACAAAACATTAGCCAGACAAACTAGGAAAGAATATCAAAATAAATAAAATCAGATATAAAAAATGAGACATTACAACTGATACTGCAGAAATTCAAAGCATTATTACTGGCTACTGTAAGCAACTATATGCCAAAGAATTGGAAAATTTAGAATAAATTGACAAATTCCTAGACACATACAACCTGGGAAAATTGACCCAGAAAGAAATCCAAAACCTGAATAGAGCAATAATAAGTAACAAAATCAAAGTTGTAACAAAAGATCTTCCAGTAAGGAAAGGTCCAGGCCACAATGACTTCATTGCAGAATTCTATCAAACATTTAAAAAAGAACTAATAGAAACGCTACTTAAGCTATTCTGAAAAACAGAGGAGAGAATAATTCCAAACACATTCTACAAGGCAAGTGTTACCCCAATACTAAAACCAGACAAAGACATATCAAAAAAGAAAACTACAGACGAGTATCTCTGAGTAATGTTGATGCAAAAATTCTCAACAAAATACTAGGGTTTTACATTTAAGTATTTAATCTATCTTGAGTTAATTTATGTATAAGGTGTAAGGAAGGGGTCCAGTTTCAGTTTTCTGCATATGGCTAGCCAGTTTTCCAAGCACCATTTACTAAATAGGAGATCCTTTTCCCATTGCTTGTTTTTGTCAGGTTTGTCAAAGATCAGATGGTTGTAGATGTGTGATGTTATTTCTGAGGCCTCTGTTGTGTTCCATTGGTCTATATGTCTGTTTTAGTACCAGTACCATGCTGTTTTGGTTACTGTAGCCTTGTAGTATAGTTTGAAGTCAGGTAGCATGATGCCTCCAGCTTTGTCCTTTTGTTTAGGATTGTCTTGGATATATGGGCTATTCTTTGATTCCATATGAAATTTAAAGTAGTTTTTTCTAATTCTGTGAATAATGTCAATGGTAGCTTGATGGGGATAGCATTGAATCTATAAATTATTTTCAGCAGTATGGCCATTTTCACTATATTGATTCTTTCTATCCATGATGATGGAATGTTTTTTCCATTTGTTTGTGTCCTCTCTTATTTCCTTGAGCAGTGGCTTGTAGTTCTCCTTGAAAGGGTCCTTCACATCCCTTGTTAGCTGTATTCTCAGGTATTTTATTCACTTTGTAGCATTTGTGAATGGGAGTTTATTCATGATTTGTCTACTTGTCTATTGTTGGTGTATAGGAACCCTTGTGATTCTTGCACACTGATTTTGTATCCTGCGACATTGATGAAGTTTCTTATCAGCTTAAGGAGTTTTTTGGGCTGAGACAATGGGGTTTGCTAAATATAGAATTATGTCATCTGCAAACAGGGACAATTTGACTTCATCTCTTCCTATATAAATACGTTTTATTTCTTTCTCTTGTCCGATAGCCCTGGCCAGAACTTTCAATACTACATTGAATAGGAGTGGTGACAGAGGGCATCCTTGTCTTGTACCTGCTTAAGAAACTATCATCCGAGTGAACAGGTAACCTACAGAATGGGAGAAAATTTTGGCAATTTACCCATCTGACAAAGGTCTAATATCCAAAATCTACAAGGAAATTAACAAATTTACAAGAAAAAGTAACCCCATCAAAAAGTGGGCAAAGGATATGACCAGACACTTCTCAAAAGAAGACATTTATGTGGCCAACAAACATATGAAAAGAAGCTCAACATCCCTGATCATTAGAGAAATGCAAATCAGAACCACAGTTGGATACCATCTTATGCCAGTCAGAATGGTGATTATTAAAAAGTCAAGAAACAATAGATGCTGATGAGGCTGTGGAGAAATAGGAACGCTTTTACACTGTTGGTGGGAATGTAAATTAGTTCCACCATTGTGAAAGACAGTGTAGCAATTCCTCAAGGATCTAGAACCAGAAATGTCATTTGATCCAGCAATCCCATTACTGGGTATATACCCAAAAGAATATAAATCATTCTACTATAAAGACACATGCACATGTATGTTTATTGCAGCCCTATTCACAATAGCAAATATATGGAACCAAACCAAATGCTTATCAATGATAAACTAGATAAAGAAGATGTGGTACATATACACCATGGAGTACTGCAGCCATAAAAAGGAATGAGATCGTGTCTTTTGCAGAGACATGGATGAAGCTGAAAGCCATTGTCCTCAGCAAACTAACGTAGGAACAGAAAACCAAACACCACATGTTCTCATTCATACGTGGGAGTTGAACAAGGAGAACACATGCTCACAGAGAGGGGAACAACACACACTGGGGCCTGTTGGGGGTGGGAGTGATGGGAGGGAACGTAGATAACAGGTCAATTGGTGCAGCAAACCACCATGGCACACGTATACCTATGTAACAAACCTGCACATTCTACACATGTATCCCAGAACTTAAGGTTAAAAAAAAAATACTAGTGAACTGAATTCAACAATATGTTAAAAATATCATTTATCACGACCAAGTGGGATTTATCTCTGAGACACAAGGATGGTTCAACATATGTAAACCAATTAACGTGTTACATCACGTCAACAGAATGAAGGACAAACACCACATGATAATTTCCACTGATGCTAAAAAGGTATTTGATAAGATTTAACATCTCTTCATGATAAAATCTCTCAAAAAACTAGATATGTAAGGAACATACCTCAAAATAATAAAAGCTATATAAAACAGGCCCACAGTTAATATCATATGGAATGGAAAAAAACTGAAAGCCATTCCACTAAGACCTGGAACAAAATAAGGATTCTTATTTTCACTACTGTTATTTAAGATAGTACTGGAACTTCTAGCTAGAGCAATCAGGCAAAATAAAGAAATAAAGGCACTGAAATTGGAATTAAAGAAGTCAAATTACCCTTGTTTGCAGATGATATGATCTCATATTTGAAAAAATTCTAAAGACGTTCCAAAGAAACTATTAGAATTGTTAAACAAGTTCAATAAAGTCGTGGGATAAAAATAAACATACAAAATTCAGTAGCATTTCTATATGCCAACAGTGAATAATGTGAAAAATAAATTTTAAAAATAATTCCATTTGCAGATGGGGTTGTTTGTTTTTTCTTGTAAATTTGTTTGAGTTCTTTGTAGATTCTGGATATTAGCATTTTGTCAGATGAGTAGATTGCAAAAATTTTCTCCCATTCTATAGGTTGCCTGTTCACTCTGATAGTAGTTTCTTTTGCTCTGCAGAAGCTCTTTAGTTTAATTAGATCTCATTTGTCAATTTTGGCTTTTGTTGCCATTGCTTTTTGTGCTTTAGACATGAAGTCCTTGCCCATACCTATGTCCTGAATGGTTTTGGCTAGGTTTTCTTCTAGGGTTTTTATGGTTTTAGGTCTAACATGTAAGTCTTTAATCCATCTTGAATTAATTTTTGTATAAGGTGTAAGGAAGGGATCCAGTTTCAGCTTTCTACATATGGCTAGCCAGTTTTCCCAGCACCGTTTATTAAATAGGGAATCCTTTCACTACTTCTTGTTTTTGTCAGGTTTGTCAAAGATCAGATAGTTGTACATGTGTGGCATTATTTCTGAGGGCTCTGTTCTGTTCCATTGGTCTATATCTCTGTTTTGGTACCAGTACCATGCTGTTTTGGTTACTGTAGCCTTGTAGTATAGTTTGAAGTCAGGTAGTGTGATGCCTCCAGCTTTTGAACCCCATCAACAAGTGGGCAAAGGATATGAACAGACACTTCTCAAAAGAAGACATTTATGCAGTCAAAAGACACATGAAAAAATGCTCATCATCACTGGCCATCAGAGAAATGCAAATCAAAACCACAGTGAGATACCATCTCACACCAGTTAGAATGGCAATCATTAAAAAGTCAGGAAACAACAGGTGCTGGAGAGGATGTGGAGAAATAGGAACACTTTTACACTGTTGGTGGGACTGTAAACTAGTTCAACCATTGTGAAAGTCAATGTGGTGATTCCTCAGGGATCTAGAACTAGAAATACCATTTGACCCAGCCATCCTATTACTGGGTATATACCCAAAGGATTATAAATCATGCTGCTATAAAGACACATGCACACGTATGTTTATTGCGGCACTATTCACAATAGCAAAGACTTGGAACCAACCCAAATGTCCAACAATGATAGACTGGATTAAGAAAATGTGGCACATGTACACCATGGAATACTATGCAACCATAAAAACGGATGAGTTCATGTCCTTTGTAGGGACATGGCTGAAGCTGGAAACTGTCATTCTCAGCAAACTATTGCAAGGACAAAAAAACCAAGCACCGCATGTTCTCACTCATAGGTGGGAACTGAACCATGAGAACACTTGGACACAGGAAGGGGAACATCACACACTGGGGCCTGTTGTGGGGTAGGGGGAGTGGGGAGGGATAGCATTAGGAGATATACCTAATATAAATGACGAGTTAATGGGTGCAGCACACCAACATGGCACATGTATACTTACGTAACAAACCTGCACGTTGTGCACATGTACCCTAAAACTTAAAGTATAATAAAAAATAATAATGATAGTAATAATTCCATTTGCAATAGCCACACATAAAATTAAACCCATAGGAATTAACTAAAGAGGTGAATGAAAGGTCTCTGTAAATAAAACTATAAAACACTGATGCAAGAAATTGAAAGGGATGCCCAAAATACTGAAAAATATTTCGTGTTCATGGATTGGAATAATCAATATTGTTAAAATGCCCATACTACCAAAAGCAATCTACAGATTCAATGCAGTCTATCAAAATACCAATTACATTCTTCACAGAAATAGAAAAAAAAAATTCTAAAGTTTATATTGAACCACAAAAGACCCAGAATAGCCTAAAAAGAACAAAACTGAAGGAAGGAATCATATTACCTGACTTCAAGCTATACTACAGAACTGTAATAACTAAAACAGCATGGAACTAGCATAAAAACAGACACATAGACCAATGGAACAGAATAGAGAACCCAGAAAAAAATCCACATACCTTCAGTGAACTCATTTTAGACAAAGGTGCCAAGAATATACTCTGCAGAAAAGATAGTCTCCTCAATAAATGGTGCTGGGTTAACTGGATGTCCATATGCAGAAGAATGATGCTAGACCCCTATCTCTTGCCATATACAAAAATCAGATCAAAATGGATTAAATACTTAAATTTAAGACCTCAAACTATTTAACTGTTACAAGAAAACATTGAAGAATATCTCCAGGACATGGGTCTGGGCAAAAATTTCTTGAGTAATACCCCACAAGCACAGGCAACCGAAACAAATATGGACAAATGGGATCACATCAGGTTAAAAAGCTTCTGCTCAGCAAAGGAAACAACCAACGAAGTGAAGAGACAACCCACAGAACAGGAGAAAATATTAACAAACTACCCATCTGACAAGGGATTAATAACTAGAATACATAAGCAGCTCAAGCAATTCTAAGGAAAAAATTAATAATCCAATTAAATAATGGTCAAAAACTGTGAATAGACATTTCTCAAAAGAAGACCTACAAATGACAAGCTGGCATATGAAAAGATGCTCAACATCATTGATTATAAGAAAAATGTAAATCAAAACTTCAGTGAGATATCATCTCACCCCAGTTAAAATGGCTTATATCAAAAGAGGGGCAATAGCAAATACTGATGAGGACGTGGAGAAAAGAGGGAACCCTTGTATACTGTTGATGGAAATGTTAGTACAACCACTATGGAGAGCAGTTTGGAGGTTCCTCAAAAAATGAAAAATAAAGCTGTCATCAAATCCAGAAATCCCACTGCTGGATATAGACCCAAAAAATAGGAAATCAGTATATGAGAGAGACATCTGTACTCACACGTTTGTTCCAGCACTGTTCTCAACAGCTAAGATTTGGAAGCAACCTAAGTGTTCATCAACAGATGAATGGAAAAATAATATATGCTACATACACGCAATGGAGTACTATTCAGTCATAAAGAATGAGATCCAGTCACTTGCAACAACATGGATGGAACTGGAGATCATTATTTTAAGTGAAATAAGCCAGGAACAGAAAGACAAACATCAAATGTTCTCACTTATTTGTGGGATTTGAAAATCAAAACAATTGAACTCATGGACATAGAGAAGTAGAAGGATGGTTACCAGAGGCTGGGAAGGGTAGTGGGGCTATATGAGGATGGTTAATGGGTACAAAAAAATTTGTTAGAAAGAATGAATAAGACCTACTATTTGATAGCACAACAGAGTTACTATAGTAAATAATAATTGTACATATTAAAATAATGAAAATATTATAACTGAATTGTTTGTAACACAAGAGATAAATGCCTGAGGGTATGGATACCCCATTCTCCATGATGCAGTTGTTATGCTTTGCAGGTCTGTGTCAAAACATTTCATGTACCCAATAAATATATACACCTATTATGTACCCACAAAAATTATAATTAAGAAGTACTGAAATATGAAGCCTGCCTCCTGGTAGGTTCTTCTGCCTTCATGGAAGAATCCCAAAGTGCTACAACTGTTCACCTAACCTGAGAATTATCATTAAAATCTATCACAGTGTGTGATTGGAAATGTCTCCTTCCCAGGCCCTAACACTCTCATCTTAAAGGTGGAGATGCTGGCAATAAGATGTTATATGATGCTTGCTGCATTAGATCTCACATATTTTCATCAGCCACCATCAGTTTAACAGGGTAGTGTGCCATCTCCATAAGCTCACCATCCACTCTGCAACTGTCTATACTGTAGGCCAATGCACTTGGAATGGACTGAATGTTTATGTTTTCCCCAAATTTACATTTTGAAATCCTAACCTCTCATGGTAATGGTATTTGGAGGTGAGGCCTTTGGGAGGTGATTAGGTTCTGCGGGGGTGGGGGGTGGGGATTCATTATTGTGATTATTGCCCGTGTAAAATAAACTCAAAAGAGATTCCTTGCCCTTTTCACGGTGGAAGGACACAGCAAAAAGACAGTTATCCATGAACTAGAAATTAGGTCCTCACCAGAAACCCAAATTTGTTGGGCTTTGATTTTGGGTTTCCCAACCTCCAGAACTGTGAGAGATAATTTTCTATTGTTTATAAGCCACTAAGTTTACGGCATTTTTGTTGTAGCCACCTGAAATAACTAAGACACCCTTACCCCGTGCAGTATCTGGTGGCAAACATAGACCAGCAAATACAGATATCCACCCTCTGTAGTGCAAAAATTCAAGAAGCATGAAAAGTCCGTCTAAGCTTGGGACATCAATTTCTCCCTCCTTCCAGCTACGTGTCCTCGTCCACTACTCATGCTATTCCTGGCCTGTCTCAACTATGTATCATTATTCACTAACCCCATTTATTTGCACAGTGCCAACCTCAGGGGACAGGATCCACTGTTCATAGGGGAAGAAATGCCTCTGTTCAGGAGACATAAAGATAGCCTTCAGCTCAGGTACATTGGCAAGAATGCATTGGGTCCCAGGGTCATCAAGAAATGTTGCTCCCTCAGGAGCCATAAGTAGTATTACTTGATATATAGGAGCCAACAATAGTCAGTCTGCTTGACAATATGTAGCAAGCAGTCTAAGGTAGGATGGGGTGTCTGATATGCTCTGGTTCTTTCACCCCGTAGACCTGTTCACTCAAATTATCCAGTAATTTTCATCAGGCAGTGGTGAGTAAGAGATATCTGAAGGCTATTCATATATGTTGTCCTGGATGCACCACCCAGATCCTCCACTTTGTCTCTTTATAGCTCCTCCACACAAGGCTGAATTCTTGATTCAGAACCCTGACTACTAGCCTGCCCAGACCTCTCTGGACTTGGTTGTGCATGGTGTCTCTCTCATGGACTCTGGAAATTCTTCTATCCCCTTTCTTCTTGATACTCCTCACTAGCTGAGAGTGTCATGTGTGGCCTCCTTCCCTGGCATTCAGTCATACTGACAAATGCTTGCTTTCCAGTACAAAGGGGAAATATCTTTTAGGCATCATAATTTTTTTTGTCTCCTGTGGCCTTGGCTGAGACATTAGAATTTTAAAGAATGGCCTGAGGAATCTTGTGATTCAGAATATTACTGCAGAAATCCAGCTTTACATGTGTGAAGTAGTAGGCAATTTTCTGCTAAGTCTAATTAGAAAACATTAAACAAATTAAAATAATGATATTAAAATTAAATTAACATAATTGTAAGACATTATCTTTCAACATATAAGTTTAACTAAAGGTTAAAGGATTGAAAACAATGTCTGGGAGGAGACTGAGCATTAAAAATTTACCTACTGGGTACAGTGTACACTATTTGGGTGATGGGTACACTAGAAGCCCAAATCCCATCACTACACAATATATCCATGTAACAAACCTACACAGGTACCTCCTGAATCTAAAATAAAATGAAATTGAAAAAGAAAAAATAATGTCTGTGAGAGTGCACAGTATTTGCATAAATTAATTTGTGAGAATATGAATTGGTAGAATATTTGTGGGATGACATTTTGGCAATATTAAAAAATAAATTTGCTCTATCTCAGCTTCTGCTTTGCTATGTTTTTCTTATTCACACTTGCCAAAATATTGATGTTTGAAGATGTTTATTTCAGTTCTATTAATTATATCAACTAATGGGAAACTACTTATGTGTCCATCAGAAAGAGAATTGTTAAATTATATTGGGAACTTACTTTAGAATTTCAAGAAAGTAGATAAAATAGTGAGATAGATTTACACATGCTGGCACGGAATGATGTTGTGGTCACTTTGTTAACTGACAAAGGCAAGTGGAAGAACAATATGTATATCACTACCCATTACGTTAAAACATTACAATATATTTTATAGCAAATCTATATATTAAAAAGCTTAACATTATTTTTAAAATTATACATACTAGGTTTTTTAATTGTAATTCCCTCTGAGGAGAAAGTTGAATTTTGAGGGAACATTATAGAGGGAGGGAATTGATTTATGTATGCTGTAAGAAATACTTGGAACAAGAATATATGCATTACTATTAGCTTTGCTGTTAAAAGATTTAAATAAGCTTATCAACATAAACAGTATGTCAGTATTAGATGAAGGAACTGCTAGCTGATGCAAAACAAAAACCTGAAATCTGAATGGCTTAACACAACAGAAGTTTATTTGTTTGTTCACATAAAATCTTACGTAATTTGGCAGTGGGTCTTTGCCACCAGGTGACTCACAAATCCAAGCTGTTTCCATCAGTAGTTCCATATCTCGACATGAGCTCTCCATATTTGCTACTGACTGGTAAAAAAATAGAGGCAGCCACCTGGATTTCACATGTCTTGGCCTATAAATGGCAAATATTGCTTCTGCTCATATATCAGTGGCAAAGATAGTCACATGACCCTTCCTAACTACAAGTGAACTAGGCAATGTAGTTTTTCCATGCACCCAGGAAATAAATCAAGACAGTATGTGGATGAGCACTTGCAGGATCTCTCATTACCTGTTACATAGCAGGTGCTCAAAAAAGAGCAATTATTACACTTTGTTAGGACAACAACCCTCTTTGTTTCCTGGAGGGGTTTCTGAGAAGGCCAAATTGGCCTTGCATTTTGCCAACTTTCTTAAGATTTTATTATGTGACAGATGCTTTCAAATAGAGAATTACATATATTTTTCAAAAGAATGCTTTAAATCTCTGAAGAAAGGGTTCATCCTTCTTCATTCAATAGTACCTTCCTGCACTTCCCTGTCTAATAACTTCTATAATATCAGTAGACTGAGTATTTTCTCCTTGCATTTGTTGCATGGTCATACTCTTAACGTGGAAGCCCCTGCTGCATATCACCCTAATGCTCCTGCCTGAACATCTGTACAGGTGCCATTAGACATATGGAAAACCAGGATTTTTTTTCTGGGGAAAGTACACAGACAAGAGGTAATAAAAGGATAGTGAGGTTTTTTTTTTTCCTTTTTTTTAAATTAAAGCTAACATATAGGACAAAAAAATCAATTCTTGACATCTCCATTTCTTCTACCCCCTAGAGGAACTCCAGAGTTTACCAAAATTCAGACTCAGGATTTACAGAGTTTTGTTTATACAGTATTTTCTATGGTCTTTCCTATTCTACCACTTAAGGGGGAGTCTTTGGATTTTGACCACCTAGAAAAGCTCACTTATTGTTGTGTATGTTCAGTGACCAGTCTCAAATGCAATACTGCATTAAAATCCTACTGCAAATATCAAGATGGTTTTAGAAACTTCTCTAACTTTACATTTGCATCCCAAGAACCAGTATATTCTTTGCCAAATTTGACTCTACTAACCAGCCCAACTATAAAATGCTTTGAGAATGTGGTGATGATGTCCATGGGGATGACTATGTGCCTAAACATCACTGTTCAAGAAAACTTCATATAGAAGGGGACTGTTGCCATCTGAGGGATTGCATGAGTGAGGGTACACCAGGAGATGTCTGCACGAAGTTTTGGTTATTGTAGTTATGTTAGAAAGAAGGAAGGTGATTTTGGGCCGCCTGTTCCACTGGAAGCAGGTACAACCTTTACACGAGCGCACAGCAAAAAGCTGGTCGGCAGGACAGGTTCCAGATTTGGAAAGGAAAGAATACAGGGTAAGATCTAGGGAAAGGGTGCTGTAATGTGCAAAAGTAGTGGGACTGCAAACCTGTGCCAGCTCCTGAGCAGAGTCAGTTCTCAAGACACTCTGGGGCTAGGAGCAGCAGTACTTTAGGTAAATGAATCCTATAAACAATTCCCAGTTGTTTTTGATTCTCATTTTCACATTCTTTCTCTACACCTGCTTTTAGTGCTTTGGCTTAGTAGTACCTTGTGGTCCTTCTTTTTATCCTCTGAGAGGCATTATAGAGTCAGGAGAAAAGGAATGAATTAACAGACAGAATGTCACCTTCAGGCTGGGAGGAGTGTAACAGTGCTGGCTTTAGAAAAATTCAGACCAGAGGTCCAGTGCTAGCTCTTTCACATACCATGTGAAATAGGACATACTACCAAGCTCTCGGTGTCTTACCATCTTCCTCTGTTAGATAGTCTTGATAAATCCTGGCTTGTATATAAGACTGTTGGAATGCACATACTGTAGGTAAAGCATCTGCCAAAGCATCTGGAATGTATTGGGTCTTCACTGACTGGCAGTTAGTACTATGATTATTTTTGACCACAGACACAACCACTTTCTCATCTGGGATTTGTTTATCCAGGAGATGTCAGAAGATATTCAATACTCTAGGACATGGCACACCAAATCAGCCAAAAACTTTACCTAGCATGAAATCTTCAGTAAATCTTCACCATTACAGTATATATTATTTAATTTGGCTTTGGGGGAGTATTTCCCAAATAAGTGCACTTGAAATCCCCTAGAAATTGTGTCAAAAACCAAGCCCTTTCCTCCCTCCAGTTGCCCTTCCAGCAACCCATCTCTGATTTCATCCATTCTCTCAAACAAAAAAATGTAGGCCATGCTTACAGTTGCCAAATTATATTCAACATAACCTATTTAAAATGTTCTTTGAATGGAGTGGACTCTGGATCTCCCAGCCCTTGGCAGACTTCCAGTCCAGTGACTTCTGCGTATCTCACCTCAAGAAAGTATCACCCTTATTTTGCGTAAACTCTTTGAACACGATGTGCATAAAATATCTAATTTGTGCACTGTCTTGTCTTCAACAGCACTGGGACAAACACACAGGACACCTACCATTCTTGTTTCAGGTGCTATCTGGTTTATGCATAATCTCAAAGTAACTACTGCTAACAACAGTTTTCCATTCTAGGCTTAATTATCTCAACACTGAGGGTCCGGCCCCTGCTCGTCACTCCCACAGCCTCATCTAGTGTACTACCCCGGTTAATTTAAAATTACCCCCAATGAAAGACTTGCAGTTTCCAAAGGCCTCTGCCTGCCTTGACTCAGGGTATTTAAATTTTAGCGCTCTCATATAGATCCCCCTACCCTGCCACACCTCCTGACTCTTTTTTAATTTTTATTTTGTATTGAATAAAGGATACTCACCATCATCTTCATATGACTGCTGCTCTTGCACTCTAAAGTTCTATGGGCAGGTAGTGCATCTTGCTTCTCTTAGCATCCCCAGTAAAGTGCTTTACAAAAAAGACATGTTCACTTAATGTTTGGGAAATAAATGAACCAATGTACACAGGGTCTGATTTATTAAGATTTATGTCTTATACATTCTTAAATAAGCTAAGCAAATGCATATATGTATCATGTAGTTTCACAGAAAAACTAAAAGAGATAGGCAAAAACAAGAATTGACCATCTTTTAGGTTTTTTTTTCTTTGTCCCAACTACTTTGCTGCTGAGTTCACAGTTGCAAGGAAATGTCTATTATAATGCTGCATTATCTTTTCCCAAATAAAAAAATAAAATGATCTGTTTCATAGTTTATTTTACAAACCAGCAAAACTTGTATTCTTAAACTTCAAAAATGGTAATAAATATATGAACAATGTCATTCATAAATGTAGATTCTGAAGCTAATGAAATGTCATATTAAAAGTAACAGCATTTGAAATCTACTGCCCCCCTCCAAAAGAAAAGCCTCCAAGTTCACCATCTAGAACAGGGATATGAAGATGTTATATACTATCTCCCCTACAGCCCCACCTCAAGCCTCCACTACTTAGAAGGCTGATGACTCTCTTCAAAGAAAAAATAAAGAATCTGCTTCAGACTACACTAGGGGTGGGAGAAGGTGCTGAACCTGGTCCTGGAACTTGCCTTGGCCATGGCAGTAGGGCTAGCCCTAGCTGCAGCTGTGGCTTGGGCTCTGTCTGATTCATCTCTCAGAGCCTCCTGATACTGAGATGGGAAGCACTTGGGGTCAGACTCATGAATCCTGGTAAAAAAAAAACTCCAGCAATCTCATCTTGCTGATTTCAGAATGGGCTCTTGGACCCCACAGGAATTCATAGCATGGAGGATCACTGTTGGGCACCTGGCAGTACTCCAAGTACTTTTCCTGCACCAGATCTTTGGTGATAGACTTCCTTGGCTCACCAAAGATTAAGTATCTCCCCTTGGAATATAAGTTCACCATATTCAGCACTTCCCAGATCTCCTCCTCAGAGGCACAGTTGCCCTTCATGAAGATCACACTCGGGGTGATAATCAGGAGGCCAATCTTAGGCATGTCCTCATCACCACTGAGCCTTGCATCATAGGTGAGGCCCAGTTTGTTGACAAGGGAGTAACTGTGGCTGGTGGGATCAACCTCCTTCACATCAACAGCAAAGACCAGCTCCATGCACTCAGAAGCTCTCTTGAAGATCTCAAGAAATTCATCCTTGTACTCGTTGATGACAATATCCAGCATGTCTGCCTTTGTGATCAGTTCTTTCGTTTGATATTTTTGCAGAAGGAACTGCATCAGCACAGTCACTTCTCATCTACAGGGTCAATAGGCAGGTTCTCAGTGTCTTGTGAAGACTCTAAAGAAGCTGTACTATCCTCCTCTTCTTGGCTGCTGGAGCTCTCATTTGACTGGCTTGTTGAAGTGGCAGTGTTGACAGTGGAAGATGAACAGGCATTTCGAAGACCCTGGAGTGTACAGGGTGTCTCAGCAGCAGAGAACACCTCCAGGTTGCGAGGCATTAGAAAATGGGAGGAGGAGGGAAATGTATCCTCCATAATCTTGGATACCTGCACAACCTCTAGGCCCTGGGTCTCACTTCAGGCATGGTGGTGTTCACGTGTTCAATGCAGATTCTCCTGACTCTGAGACATGGTTACTCTTGAAGGTGGTAGCAGGCAGGAATGTGGGCAGGAAGCTAGATGACAGTGAAGCCCAACTTGGGGATAGAGGGAAGATGTGAATGGCCTCATCTGGTAAACTCAACGGTTGGTGGCTCCAATAAATGCTGCCTCCAGCAGTTTTTTTCTTGAGGGCAGTGCTCTAGAGCCTCACAGGTCTCCTGTTCTGACCTGTAAGAAGCTAAAGGAGGAAATGAGGATGCTTTTCAGGGTGCCGCTGGTCAACTCAGCACAAAGATTCCCAGAGCTGACCACAGGACATATGAGGCTCTGTGGAATCCCTTCGTTTTGCAGTCAGTGGTTCCCTCTGTCCTTGTTCAGAATCCTCACTGTGACCCAAGGGAGTATCTGGGACTCCCACCTCTACTGACCCAAGAGCTATCACCTCAGAAAGAGCTCTTAATTTCCCTGAGATATTTAAGGTAGATGGAATTGAGGGAGTACCCCAGACTCTCAACAGCTTTTTCTAGAACCTTTAAGCCAGGAAAGCCAGAGGGGCAACAGATTCTACAGGAAGGAAGTGAGAGGGCTTCTCATTAGGCCATACCTGTTTGGGCCTCCCAGAGGTGACAGCAAGTGGCAGTTGTCTGTACAGATTTTGCTGTTCTGAGGTATGTGATTCTCTCGGTCATCACTCAGGGTTATCACTTTGCCCCTTAAAGGGGCTAGGATGCCTCCCTCTGCTGACTTGACACGGCAACCCTCAGACTACTAAAGACAAAACCAGAAAGCACTAAAGTCTGATAGCTATTCTATGCCCTACCAGATACCAGATCTGATAGCAGGGACAGGGCTCTTTGGATCTTCTGGAGTGTGTGGTTCCCCAGTCATCACTCAGTGTCTTGCCTTGATGTTTGGCAGGGGCTGAAATTCTTGCCTCTGCAGACTGAAGGTCACACTTCTTAGACTATGGTACTCACCATTCTCTCACTCTCCAAGCAAAAGACAAGAAAAACCACTTAAGGCCATTCCTCCTTTCTGCAGGGAGAACGACAGAGTTGTGAGGGGCCTTCTTCATTTGGGGGTAGAGGTCCACTCAGATCTCACTCAGCATCTTACCTTGACTCTTGGAAGTGTCTGAGATTCCTCTCTCTGCTGAATAAGGCCTCCCCTCTCAGATAAAGGCATTCGCCATTGTCAGACTAGTGAAGCAAAAGTCAAGGAAAGACACTACCCACAAACTCTCACCCTCCCAGAGGTCACAACAGAGTTCTGAGTAACCCCTTCCCTTCTGAAATGGGTGGTCACCTCAGTTCTCACTCAGAATCTTACCTTAACTCCTGGCAGAGTCTGGGACTCCTCCCTCTGCTGACCTGAACCAGCACTCCTCAGAACAAGTCTCACACCTCCCTGCAAACACAAGGCAGAAGTCAGGGGGCAACTCAGTCTCAATCATTCTGGGGTCTCCTGGGACTGGAGGAGGGTCAGGGATCTTATCTGTGAAACCCCCATGCTCCACGTTGGTGGTAGCCTCATTTTTCACTCTGTGTCTTATCTTGAAAGTCTTGAAACTCAGTAGTGCTGGGGCCTCATCCCTCTGCTAGAGGGAAGTGTCATGTGTGGACATATTATTAAGGAGTTTTCTTAGCAATGTTTTCTCCTGTTGAAAACATTGTGTCATTTTATATAATTACCAAATGCAGAGTTCTAAGAGACAGCATGGGCCAGCTGGGTTGACGTGTGCCTCCTAACTCCTGATCACTCCATAAACAATTAAAATACTAAAGTAGGACAGAACCTCAGAAATCGTTATTTTCTGGATGGAGAGCCTGGAGCATAGGGAAGTTCTGAAGAATTTTGCAAAAATGTTGTTACTGGTCAGAATTAAAATTTTGTTAGTGATCAGAATCAAAATACTAAACTGGTGCTCTATGACTATGTTCTCACTGTGAACATTTCAAACAATGTCGTCAAAATGGCATTCTCTTGTGCCTTCTCTTCAATCCTCTCCATCATGCCCACTATTATATAACCTAATTGTAAGTTAATTTTGTATGAATGTAAATGTGAACTTGACTTATGTAAATGCAATAGTAAAGTACATATTGTTTTGCTATTTGCTTTGTCTGCCAATTAATAATCCATTTAGAAAAGCATTCCATATCAATCTTCAGACTAACCTTAGAGTCTGAAAAAAAGGTATTATTTCATCATTATTTGCATTGAGGTGCCCTTGGTGGCATTCTATATATTGTTGATATTTCTAGATTTTATGAGCAGTCTATATACAGGCACACGTTGTTTTATTGCACTTCACTTTATTGC
The DNA here is from genome assembly GCF_000001405.40 of Homo sapiens. Classification (NCBI taxonomy): domain Eukaryota; kingdom Metazoa; phylum Chordata; class Mammalia; order Primates; family Hominidae; genus Homo; species Homo sapiens. The sequence continues at coordinate 35,056,640 of NC_000023.11, read as the reverse complement.
ACTTTGCAGATACTGCATGTTTTACAAATTGAATGTTTGGGGCAACCCTACTTTGAGGAAGTCTGTGGCACCATTTTTCCAACGGCCTGTGCTCACTTCTTGTTTCGGTATCACATTTTGGCAATTCTCACAATATCTCAAGCTTTTTCATTAATATTATATCTGCTATGATAATCTGTGTTCAGTGACCTTTGATGTTATTATTGTATTAGGTTGGCACAGAAGTAATTGCGGTTTTTGCCATTAAAAGTAATTAAAAGTAATGGCAATTACTTCTGCGCCAACCTAGTAATTGTTTTGAGACACCAAAAACAGTACCCATATAAGAGGACAAATTTAATCAATAAATGTGTGAGTTCTGACTGCTCCATTGACCAGCCCTTCTCTTATCTCTTTCTCTCTCTCCTTGGGCCTCCTTCCCTGAGACATGACAGTATTGCAATTAGGTCACTAAATAACCCCAAAATGGCCTCTCGGTGCTCAAATGAAAGGGAGTCATACCTCTCTCACTTTAAATAAAAAGCTAGAAATTATTGAGCTTAGTGACGAAGCCATGTCAAAAGCCAAGATAAGACAAAACTAGGCCTCTTGTGCCAGTCAGACAAGGTGTGAATGCAAAGAAAACGTTCTTGAACAAAATTAAAAGTGCCACTCCAATATACACACAAATAGTAAGAAAGTGAAACAGTCTCATTTGTAATATGGAGAAAGCTTGAATGGTCTGTACAGAAGATAAAACCACCCACAACATTCTCTTAAACCAAGGCCTAATCCAGAGCAAGGCCCTAACTATCTTTAATTCTAATAAAGGCTGAAAAAGGTGAGGATGTTTCAGAAGACAAGTTGAACCCTGGCAGAGGTTCAGGAACTTTATAGAAAGAAGCCATCTCCATAACATAAAAGTGCAAGGTGAGGCAGAAAATGCTGATGTAGAAGCTGCAGCAAATTATCCACAAGATCTAGCTTAGATAATTGATGGAGGTGGCTACACTAAACGGCATATTTTCAGTGTTGACAAACAGCCGTCTATTGAAGGAACATATCATCTAGGACTTTCACAGCTAGAGAAAAGTCAATCCCCTGCTTCAAAGCTTAAAGGACAGGCTAACTCTCTTGTTAGCAACTAAAGAAGCTGGTGATTTTAAGTTGAAGTCAATGCCCATTTATAATCCTGAAAATTCAAGGGCTTTCAATAATGATGATAACTCTACTCTGCCTGTGATCTATAAATAGAAAACCAAAGCTGGATGATAGCATTTCTGTTTACATCATGGTTTACGGAATGTTTTAAGCTAACTATTGAGACCTACTGCTCAAAACAAAAAGATTCTTTTCAAAATATTACTGCTTATTGACATTGTGCCTAGTCACCCAAGAACTCTGATGGAGATCATCCATTCCATAGCCCATGAATCAGGGAGTAATTTTGACTTTCAATTCTTATTATTTAAAAAATACATTCCATAAGGCTTTAGCTGCCATAGATAGTGAATCTTCTGATGAATCTGGGCAAAGCAAACGGAAAACTTTCTGGAAAGAATTAACCATTCTAGATTCCCTTTAGAACACTTTTGATTCATGGGAAGAAGTCAAATTATCAGTATTAAGAAGGGTTTAGAAGTTGATTCCAGCTCTCATGGATGACTGGAGGGGTTGAAGACTTTAGTGGAGGAAGTTACTTCAGATGTGCGGGAAATGGCAAGAGAATTAGAATGAGAAGTGAAGCCTGAAGATGTGGCTGAATTACTACAATGTCTTGAGAAGATATGAACAAATGAAGATTGCTTCTTATGGATGAGCAAAGAAAGCAGTTTCTTAAGATGAAATCTACTCCTGGTGAAGATTCTGTGAATGTTGTTGAAACCACACACACACAAAAAAGATTTAGAATATTTTATAAATTTCATTTATAAAATAGTGGCAAGGTTTGAGAGGATTGATTCCAATTTTTGAAAGAATTTCTGTTATGGGTAAAATGCTATCGAACAGCATCAGGTGCTACAGAGAAATCTTTTACAAAAGGAAGAGTCCATCAATGTGGCAACTTTCATGGTTGTCTTGTTTTAATTAATTGCCACAGCTACCCCAGCCCTCAGCAAACACCACCCTTGTCAGTCAGCAGCCATCAACACTGAGGGAAAATCTTCCACCAGCAAAAAGATTCTCACCTGAAGGCTGAGATAATCATTAGCATTTTTTCTCAATAAAGTATTTTTAATTAATGTATGTACATTTTTTTCTTAGACATAATGCTATTGCACACTTAATAGAGCACAGTATAGTGCAAACATAGCTTGCATATCCACTGGGAAAACAAAAATTTTTGGAAATTTTTAATTTCATTGTTCACTTTATTGCAGGGTCTGTAACTAAACCCATAATATCTTTGTGGTATGACAGTAGAGATCTACCTTTTTAAAAAAGTAAAATAGATGGTACTTTAGTTCATTTGCATTGCTAAAAAGGAATACCCGAGGCTGGGTAATTTATAAAAACAAAAGTTTATTTGGCTCATGATTCTGCTGACTGGAAGACTGGGCATCTGGTGAAATCCTTAAGCTGCTTCCACTTATGGCAGAAGGCAAAGGGAGTCAGTGCCTACAGAGAGCACGTGGAAAGAGGAAGCACGAAAAAGGGCAGATGCCAAGCTCTTGCTGACAACCAGCTCTTGTGGAAACTAATAGAACAATGAAATATACTCTTCCCTCTTCCATCAGGAACAAAGGGTATTGACTTCTCTCTAGCTATGAAAGTCCTAGATGATATGTTCCTCCAATAGACGGCTGTTTGGTCTAGACTGAAAATGTGTTATTTAGTGTAGCCACCTCCATCAATTATCTTAGTTGGATTTTGTGGATAACTTGCTGCAGCTTCTACATCATCATTTTCTGCCTCACCTTCTGCCCGCACCCCCTGGAAGGCATTAATCTATTCATGAGGGCTTCACCCCCATGACCCACGCACTTCCCATTAGAACCTGCCTCCAGGCTGGGCGTGGTGGCTCACGCCTGTAATCCCAGCACTTTGGGAGGCCAAGGTGGGTGGATCACGAGGTCAGGAGATCGAGACCATCCTGGCTAACACGGTGAAACCCCGTCTCTTCTACAAAAATACAAAAAATTAGCCGGGCGTGGTGGCGGGTGCCTGTAGTCCCAGCTACTTGGGAGGCTGAGGCGGGAGAATGGCGTGAACCCGGGAGGTGGAGTTTGCAGTGAGCCGAGATCAGGGGCCACTGCACTCCAGCCTGGCTGACACAGTGAGACTCTGTCTCAAAAAAAAAAAAAAAAAAAAGAACTTGCCTCCACTATTGGGGATCACATTTCAACATGAGTTTTGGAGCAGTTAAATATCCAACCATAGCATATGGTTACTTCTCTAGTTAAAACTCTCACGCATATTTGTCCTCAGACATTTTCATGAATACCAAGAGTGTTGAGATATCTGATTAGTTTGCTAAGTATTGTTTGTGAGAGTCAGTGGACCATTCTTTCCATGGGTCATAAGAAATGTGAGAAGCACATAAATAAAATGGTTGAGTACTGCTATACTGTATCTTTCTATTATAGACTTGCCTCTACATTGCATTTCTTGCTCTTCAAGGATGGTCCACAAGTCATTACTGATCATAGTGATGAAATATACTCCTCCCTCTGCCAGTAGGAACAAAAGGCATAATGGTAGCTTCTGCTGATTGAGTGACAGGAACCTGGGATATTGGGCACATCTGTGGCGACTTCCTGGAAACTGAGCTGTGTGTAAAGAAGTCTGCTTTGGTCCTAAGAGCATCTTCCTGACCCAAACTCAGACGGCTGCTGTCAAGTTCTACATTTCTTTCAGAATAAGCAATAACAACTGTTGCAGCCCTCCTTGCTAACTAGGAGCAGAGGTCCCGAGCAAGGTGGTACAGGCTGTAATTGGAAGGAGGATGGGGTGCCTCTCAAGTTTTCATGGTTAACACTATCACCTTATTGCGACTGGAATAAAAAGCTGGACAACCTGCTGGCTAACAGTGGTCAGTCCTCAGGGTCATCCAGCTGAATGGAGAAATCCAGTAGTGCATTGAAAATCTGTTCTGGGAACACCTTATTGCTGAGCAGAGTTCATGTGATTTCTAGTTGTGGTGACCTAAAAAATTGCCTTAAAAATTGCCTAATTGTGTGTTGTGAAGCATACACAAAATATGATAATGTGGTCTTGATGGCCAATAGTCAAAGCCTCCAAAAAAACGTCCAGTGAGAGATTTTCCATTTGTCCTTTGAGAACTTTTTTTATTTTATTCCTATGCTGCCTTCAGATAAAACAAGCTCATCACCTAATCAATTTTTTCATGGAATTATTTTACAGCCTTTTAGGTTTATTTTATTTATATTATTTTTCTGAGAGTGGAATATGAGAGTAAGGTAGAGTATATCTTTTATGCATTCATTTCATTCCCTTTATCCTCTCTCATGGACTATATTATTAATGTAAAATATATTTTGTTGCTTTATTTCTTAAGTATTTGTGGATTGAATAAATAGATTATTCAAGGAATAGGTGAAATTAATGTCAGCCAGAAATTTAATGTTTTATTATTCACTGTTTCCACTATTTGATTCTGCACTATGCCTCGTTTTGAAGCAAAGGTACTTTACAATGGGTAAAATTCTGAATTATACTGTTTCATATGACATGTTCAATAACATATTAAACACTTAAAATTGACAATGACCATGCTACATTAATTGAAAAAGCTGAAATAGAAACTTTTTTTTTTGCAAATGTAGCACATGAATTTTAACAACAGTTCTTTTAATGTGTTTACTGTTCTATAAAAGTATAACTTGATGATTGTTACTGGAAATCTGCTCTATTAAAAAAGGTAAATTAAAGCATTAAATTACTTTTTCCTTGTTACTCAGATGAAAATAAAATGTCAAAATGTGAATACTGGGCCGGGAGCAGTGGCTCACACCTGTAATCCCAGCACTTTGGGAGGCTGAGGCGGGTGTATTACTTGAGGTCAGGAGTTTGAGACCAGCCTGGCTAGCATGGTGAAACCCCATCTCTACTAAAAATACAAAAAATTAGCTAGGCGTGGTGGCAGGGGCCTGTAATCCCAGCTACTTGGGAGGCTGAGGCAGGAGAATCACTTGAACCCAGGAGGCAGAGGTTGCAGTGAGCTGAGATCGTGCCATCGCACTCCAGCTTGGGCAACGAGAGCAAAACTCTGTCTCAAAAAACAAAACACAACAAAACAAATGTGAATACTGTTCATATAGCCTGTTATTTAAACTATCATTTTTGTGTGTCATGAATGACATGGTACATATTATATTTAATGTTCACATGCCACTTTATGTTAAAGAACTTAGTATCGTATTTACATTCACTAGGTTATTTATATCCTATGCCACACATGTGTATTTATAAAAACCATAATATCTTCTAAAGCAGAAAGGTTATTAAATGTTACATTACACAGGTTGTATATTCACACAGAGGTAGTCTACCTTAACTATCAACTGCTAATAAACTGACTGTGACTGGGTAGCACAAAATTATCTGCCTCAAGTATATAGGTTCCATCAAAATGGTGAATTGACATGATTATAGGTTAAGAAAGATTTAGTAGCTCACTGAATTTTAGAGGCTTATAGGACCTTGATGACTACTTGACTAAATAACACTCATATTTACAAGGAAAATCTTGCCTTAGTCCAGATGGGCTGCTATAACAAAAACAGCATAGACTGGGTGACTTACATTCAACAGAAATTTATTTCTTACAATTCTGGAGACTGTAAGTCTTTGATCAAGATATTGGCAGATTCAATGTGTAGTGATGGTCCACTTCGTGCTTCATAGATGTCCATCTTTTCACTGTGCCTTTACATTATTGAATGGGCAAGGCAGCTTTCTGGGCCCTCTTTAGTAAGGGTAAAGATGTTTTTCATGAGGGCTCCCCTTCATGACCTAAATACTTCCTAAAGGCCCCACTCTCAGATACCATCTTATTGAGGGTAAGGATTTCGACATGAATTTTACGGGGATACAAACATTCGATCTATAGCAAGTTGATACCTGAATAGATAAAATGACTTGGTCAAGGTCACTAAATAAACTACACTCATATTTTATTAATTAAATTATCATGTCAAATGATGAATTTTGATTTAATTTTCACAATGTGATCTAAAAATCTCATAAAAACTTATTTCCATGATCTTTCAGTTAAAACTTAGACAAACCCACAGTAAAATATCAAACAAACAAAAAGCTCAAAATATAGATGTCTTTACTCAGAATCTTCCAGGAGCACTCCCTAAGAGAAAATTTGTGTGGTGAGAATATGCCCAGGAAAAAATCAGTAATAAAGTAGGGACAGCAAGATAGACAAGGAAAATTAACCAAGAAATTTCAGGTGAGGGCTCAACCTCATCCTATGGAGAGTTTTGGAGCATGAGTTACACTTTAGAGTTTGCTTTACCTCGTGGCAAAGGAAATGGACTTTTATAATACCACACCAATCATTGGCTATGTGCCACTCCAGGTTTTTTGGGTGTTAGGGAAACGTGAGGAAGGCCAGTTGTAGACATTTCTTACTCTGTTCAGGCAAGGAGACTGCAGTGTCCAAGAGCAATCTTTTCAGGTCAAAGGTGCAAACTTTTACTAGCACAACATGCAGAAGTTAGGAGATGAGCACATAGAGTTGGGAAAAGGGATCTGAGAGGATCGGTACAGGGCATCAACAGTGTCTGCTAAAATAAGCAACCTGGTATTGTGGGAAAAACATGGACTCTGGAGACAGAGAACTTATGTTCTGGCCTTATTCATCAGGCATAAACTTGGGCACATTACTTGGGAAGTCTCTTACACAGATGTTTGTGAATAGATCCTTTTCATTTTTTACTCCCAAATCCTAGCATAATGCCTGGCACATAGATGGCATTCAGGAAAAAAATGTTGAATGAATGAAACCGCTAAACCTATTTTTAGCTCTAGTGAGATTCAGTTGTTTTTATTGTTATTGTTCTGTGCTACTTAAAAAAAAGTCTCCCCTTTTTTTTTAACACAGAACTTTGCTTCCATGGTTTTAATTCACATCTTACTGAAACACTATCTTTACCCCAAAACTGACTCTGGGATTAGTTTTCACATCATAAATGTGTGTGTACATATGAATATTTATTGTTGTGTATGTGTATATATATGTATATATGAATGCTTAGCAGCAAATTTGTATGTGCTATATATAATGAGAAGATTAGCAGCAATCTGTCACTAGTCAAGAAAGAGCTTAAGATTGTTTTCCTGCTCTAATCAGCCAGATCCTAGAAAGCAAATTTGAAGTATGGACCATAGATTTAAATTCTCTATAAGGTTATTAACAAAAAAATAGAAATAAATTTGCTCAACCATTTTTTAAATAATCAATGTTGACCTACCAAGTCAGACTTAAATGGAGAAGCCACGGAAAATAGAAATTATGAACTTATTGTTCATTGCCAAAAAAGATGAGAGAAAATTTAAATTACATTCACTCTGGGAGGCCACAGCAAAACTTATTATAAAACACTGTTACTAGGTTGCTCTAAAATATCTTTGATTATTTTTTTCACTTCATCATTCGTCTCTCTTTATGCATTGATGATTTTAAGACAGTCCTTTTCAAACTGATTCAGCTACCTGAGTGGTGAAATTCACAAACCCATATGTGCAGAAATACACTATAACCACAGGTAACATTTATTGAGCACTTACTTGTTCCCTGTATCATGATAAAGATGATCTCATCTCATTTCTCATTTAATCCCCAGTACAGCCCTATGTATTAGGAACTACAGTCATCTCCATTTCACAAATGAATAGATGGAGATTAAAAGAGGTGAAATAACTTGACCTCTTAAGGATTAAAAGAGGTTAAGTAACTTGGGCATGTAGCTAGAACAAGGAAAAACCAGGATTCACACACAAGTGATCTGAAACCAAAGACTCAGCTTCAGGAACCAAAATGAAGAAAAAGTTTGCAATTCTATATTTGAATCTGGGGAGCCCAGTCTGCTTTAAAGCGTGATAAAATGAAACTACAGAGAGAAGACTCTCCTCCTCTAATTAATATAACTAGCATCCCCAGTGAGACAAATCAGATTATTTTTCATTCTCCATTACTTTGTCAGGGTATCCTGTTGACCTATTCTTCACTCGTAACTGCAGTGTACATAATTGCTGGGAAATAATGTCACAGGGGTTTGAATAATGAAAACATGTGAAAGTTCCATTTGGACTACTTAAACACAAAAAAGCAGTTAACTTAATCTGAATGGATTGTTGAATTTGCTGTATTCTCTCATTTTAAAGCCAAAAGTTTTAAGAAAGTTTTTTGCTTACTTTTTAAAAGACAGATTATAACAACTCCATTTTAGCGTATATGTCTCTTTTCAATAAAAGTAGAGTGCTAGACAAGTCTTAATCATGCCATTTTCACTAACGAAGAAAATTTAGAACAATTTTACTACCTGTGATATGAACATGCAATTATTGACCAAGAAGCTTCCTGAATTATTAAAGGAAGTGCCATCAAGTGAGGGGAGGGCAAAGAAGCCAGCAGAGCAGCAACCATCAATGAGAATTTGAAAGCTTCACAGAAGAGGCACATCATCAAATCAGACTTACGCCTCTGTGCACTAAAGTAGAGACTAAAATCTCTGACAGCTCACATTACAGAAAGACTTGCTAGTGAACTGGAAATCCTACACTTCATCCAAAATGCCAGGCTTACACTAGGAAGGATCACAAATCTTGCACGAAAACAGACCCTCACATTGGAAGCGTTAGTCCAAGTCAAGTAGGAAGTTTTGTTTTTCTATGTAAATACTAATTGTGGTGATCCTGGGGACATGTGGATTTGGGGTAAACACAACCTGCAGTGGCAGCTGAGAGAATGAGGAGAATTTTGTATCGAAACCCCATTATGGATGTTGCATTATTAGTGGAATCTGTGAATTACATCTATCCCAAGACTGGTTCTTTATTGCTAATAACCCATATTCATAGACCAACTTTAGATGGAAAAGGCAGTCATTTATCTAAACTGGGCTCCATTCTTCCCTGTGCTGTATACCATGCTATAATTAAGTTAGTGAAGGCAATCTAATTCCTAATGCTCCAAGCACAATGCTCCATGTTTATGGTGTTCCTAGGTCTGTCTACCATCTTTTCTCTGGTCATGAAAACTAAATAAAAACAGGTGAGGTAGGAATGGTGATGAGAATTAGCATCAATCACCTTGTTCTCTAGTTCTCATACACACAAAATTGGGAAGTAGAAACATTATTTTCACAGCCATGGTAGGGCGATTGCACAGAAGAATTCTACCAGTTCAGGCAACAAGCTACAGGAATAGTAAAAGGAACAGAGCAGAAAGCCATATTTCCTACTGAGATTTATGTTGGAAAATTGTTGCTGCCAGGATCATGGGTTATTCTGAGACATTTTCTGAGCCTCTTCTGAGTTTATGAACAAGACCAGCTTTGCAGTGTCTGAGAGTCGCAGGATTACTGTTCTATTTTTGGTGTTAGAAGCAATTAATCATGGTTCTATGTCACCAACAAATAAAAAATATTTTTCTTTTAGACAGGCAGGGAAGTTGGAAAGGAAGGCAAGAAGAGTGAGTGTTCCATTCAAAATACATCTTTATTTATTTTAGCTTCAGTGCAGGATGTTTTTATTTTACAAGAACACTTCGAACACAAGAGCTGAAAACCCTGAGGCAAGGCAGGCCCACTACACTATAATTCTGTGGTCCCAGTCATATGCCCTGCTAACTCAGAGATGTCGTTAGTCAGTTTCTCTCACAATAGTAATAGCACAGGCATTTTACTTCCAGTGGAAAGACACAGTGGTTCCCAAATCTGCAACCCAAAGCCGTGACTGGGTATTCTGGTTGCATTTATCTTTCCCCACCCTTAGTATTTTATACAATCTAGCTCCAGTTCTGCTTATGAATTTTAGCAAGAACCGATTTCACAAAAGCTTGTCCCAGAGTGCTTCAAATGCTTTCCAATAGAGGTTGTATGTGACATTTTTTTTCCCTAATGGAAAAAATGAAATTTCAAGGGCCCAGACTTCACTTATTTTTGCCCAACTTTGAGGTTTGGTTATGAACAGGATCTTTGGAAGAAAGCACACGGACGCTGTCAGCAATCTTAACTGCCTGGCTGTATCCTGTGTTGTTCACCAATGGAAATGGCTAGATTGAAAATTTTAGCTGAGCCAAAACATTTCCATTGTCTGCAACTTAACACATAAACAAAAAGGAAAAACAAGAAACTCTATCCAGGAAAGTGTATTTTCTTTAGCACAGTGTGTGAAGCAAAGAGCAACAATGAATATGTTTTATTTATCTTTGTCTGAGGGAGAAATATTAAATTATGTCAATAATAGATCTATTAGTTTTACTATTACTATTTATTATCATTGCTTATTTTGTTTTATAGCCCAGGGATTTTACAAAAAGTCCTGTAAACTCAAACTGCTGTGTTTAATGTTGCTCTTGCTCTCCTATAGTTTACAGAAAATTTTCACTTACATTTGAGTTCATTTGTGTAGCATTTCACTTTAATCAAGGCTGTCTGACTTATTGTCAAAAGTGAATGGAAATGCAGTTTTAAATCCATTTATGTCACAACTTAAATTGAAATAATCCCGGTATTCAGTAACCTCCAAGGATGTTTTCATCAAAGTATGTCCCATACATTTTTGCCCCCAATAGGCTTGTATCTATGTTTCATAGAATCAGATCTCATTGCAGATAAAGTAAATTCTCCTTTTGCTTTCTGTTCTTCAGTCACTCAACAAGTGTTTGTTAAATATCCATTTTGAGCAACTCACTTAACGTCCTCATGCCTCAGACTCTATTTCTAAAGGAAGGTATTAGGCAAGATAATGTCTAAGATATTGTGAACTCTAATGTTACATTTATAATTTTGCTATAGGCTTAGGTAAGTTCTAAAAACTGAAAACAATTATATATAGGAATACATATCATGACACAATGGAAAGATAATGGACTTCTGTGAGCCACAGTTTTGTCACTTAGTGCTATGGTCTGTATGTGTGTGTCCCTTCAATATTTACATATTAAAATACTATTAGGAGGTGGGGCCTTTACAAGGTGATTAGGTCACAAGGGCTTCACCCTCACGGGTGAGATTAGTACCCTTATAAAGAGGCCTGAGAGGCGGGGAGCGGTGGCTCACGCCTGTAATCCCAGCACTTTGGGAGGCCGAGGCGGGTGGATCACGAGGTCAGGAGATCGAGACCATCCCGGCTAACACGGTGAAACACCGTCTCTACTAAAAAATACAAAAAATTAGCCGGGCGCGGCGGCAGGCGCCTGTAGTCCCAGCTACTCGGGAGACTGAGGCAGGAGAATGGCGTGAACCCGGGAGGCGGAGCTTGCAGTGAGCAGAGATTGCGCCACTGCACTCCAGCCTGGGCGACAGAGCAAGACTACGTTTCAAAATAAATAAATAAATAAAGAGGCCTGAGAGAGCTTGTTTGTCCCTTTCACTATGTGAAGACACAGCATTAAGGCAACAGCTTTGAAGCAGAGAGTAAGCCCTCACCAGATACTAAATCTGTTGGCACTTTATTTTTGTACTTTCCAGCCTCCAAAACTGTAAGCAATATATTTCTATTTTTTATAAATTACTCAGTCTAAGACATTTTGTTATAGCACTCTGAATGGTCTAAGAGATTTGGTGAATGAGTACAATACTCCTGTCCTCACAACATTGTCTAAAGATTTAAATCAGAATAAATAGAAAAGTATGTAATACATGGTAGTTCAATAAACAACAGTGGCTGATCTTTTTTGCCTTTGTTAAAATTACTTACACTCCAAGTGTGAAGAGAGGATCTGTGCAAAAAAGAGAGACATATAAGAATGCAACGTAAAAAAAAAACACTGAATGAAATGAACAATTTATACATAATAGACATCTTAGATGTTTTGCAACAAACGGATTCATATGAAACTTAGCAGCCCTAGCCTTGCTTACTTCTAAACCATGATATTTACTGCTTCCTGATTATTGCCTTGACTTGACATTTGTTTTTAGTACTCCTGATTAACCCTTTGTATATTAATCAATCAAATAAGATCTGAATCTATTTCCTCATACCAGGATCTGAGGAGATATTTAGATCAAATGTAAGAGCTGTGGATACCATGTGAAATTTAATTTCTGGATTGAAAGGTAGACGACCTGCCGAAAGGCTAGAGCTTGGGGCCTGAACACAGCTAGAAAGACCACTTCTTCAGCCTGATCTTAATTTTTTTTGTTCTTTTTTAGATGGAGTCTCGCTCTGTTGCCCAGGCTGGAGTGCAATGGCACGATCTCGGCTCACTGCAACCTCTGCCTTCTGGTTTCAAGCAATTCTCCTGCCTCAGCCTCCTGAGTAGCTGTGATTACAGGCACACACCACCATGCCTGGCTAATTTTTGTATTTTTAGTAGAGATGGGGTTTCACCATGTTGGTCAAGCTGATCTTGAACTCCTGATCTCGTGATCCGCCCACCTCGGCCTCCCACAGTGCTGGGATTACAGGCGTGAGCCACCACACCCAGCCAACCTGATCTTAATTTGTAGATTCATCAATCTGTTCTGTTTCCTCACTGGGCCCTGACAATTCATTAAAGATAGAACAAAAAAAAATAAAAATCAATAAAAAAGCATGAGAGCAGAAATCCTTTATCAAATATTTTTGTTTTGACACAGGCTGGGGGACAGGCTAGAGTGCAGTGGGGTGATCATTGCTCACTGCAGCCTAACTCCTGGTCTCAAGGGATCCTCTCCCACCTCAGTCTCCCAAATAGCTAGTACCACAGGCATGCACCACCACACCTGGCGGGTTTTTTTTTTTTTTTTTTTTTGAGAGACGAGGATCTTGCTCCATTGTCCAGACTGATCTTGAACTTCTGGGCTCAAGCAGTTCTTCCCCATTGGTCTCCCAAAGTTCTGGGAATACAGGCTTGAGGCACCATGCCTGACCTCAAATATCTGTAATGAGACTTTAACAACAAATTTATCAAGACCTTTAAGATGCTTAGAATGATGAAAATCTAGAGTTATCCATAACATCTCAGTTTTATGTAAGCCAAACTACTTTATGTAGATGGCTCTGAGTTATTTTGAAGGGTCTCTGAAAATCCCAGAATAATGACATTTTATAATAAAAAGAAATCCAGTCCAACAACCTTATTTTTCAGACGAAGAAACCGAGTCCCAGAGAAGTGAAGAGCAAGGCTCTGCTCTGCCTTTCCCTGCCTGTGTCTTTGGGAAGTTACATACCATTTCCAACTTTCAAGGTACTTATATGTTAAACGGGGCTAGAATAGTAAGTATCCCATAATGCTAGGTGAAACACATGTGAAATGTTTAGCAAAATGCCTGACATATTAAATATTATCATTATTATAAGAATGAGGAGTAAAATCTGTCTTTATAATACCATACTCTGGAATAGTGAATAGGAGAGCTCTACTTCATATATTAGTGAAGTCGAAGAAGAATTTAGATAAGCCTTTAAACATGCTTGTATTAAAGATAGCAATACAGAATATTTTCCTTAATACTTACTTCAAAGAAATAAATCTTTTTGCTAAAAGCCTTCTGTTATAGCAACATTCCTGGAAATTTCCCAGTAAATACAATAACTGAATATTTAGACGAAAAAGTGAAATTTGTTTTTCTGTAAGTTCAAAATTAATATTTATTTACACTGGAAAATCCAGGCATACTTAGTGATTTCAATCACCTACCTAAAAAGCAATTAAAACCAAAAAAGAAAGAAAGAAGAAGAATTACTTCAAATATTATTGTTTCATGATTTGAAAGATTCTTTTTGTGATATTATTTGGCCCTGAAAAACTCAGACACATTTTTAGTTTTATATACAAAGAAGTCTACCCAATAAAAGGGGATATCATGGAGAACTAGTTTACTTAATAGTTTCTCCTTTCTAAAAGTTTTTTCTCAGTTATGAAACTATTCCAAAATCCAAATGAATGGTTTTAAGGTAAAGAGGCATTATTTTATTTAGTTTAAAAAAATTTTTATTTTAGGTTTGGGGGCACATGTGAAGGTTCGTTACATAGGTAAGCGCATGTAATGGGGGTTAGTTGTACATATTATTATTGACATCACCCAGGTATTAAGCCCAGTACCCAATAGTTATCTTTTCTGTTCTTCTCCCAGCTCTTTACCTTCCCACCCAAGTAGACCCCAGTGTCTCTTGTTTCCTTCTTTGTGTTCGTAAGTTCTTACCATTTAGCTACCACTTATAAGTAAGAACATGCAATATTTGGTTTTCTGTTCCTGTGTTAATTTTGCTAAGGATAATAGCCTCCAGCTCCATCCATGTTCCCACAAAAGACGTGATCTAGTTCTTGTTTATAGCTGCATAGTATTCCATGGTGTATATGTACCACATTTTCTTTTTCTAATCTGTCATTGATGGGCATTTAGGTTGATTCCATGTCTTTACTATTGTCAAAGATCAGATGATCATAGATTTACAGCCTCATTTCTGGCCTTTCTATTCTGTTCCACTGGCCTATGTGCCTGTTTGTGTGCCAGTATCATGCTATTTTGATTACTATAGTTTTTCAGAATAGTTTGACGTTGGGTAACATGATGTCTCCAGCTTTGTTCTTTTTGCTTAGAATTGCCCTGGCTCTTTGAGCTTTTTTTTTGGTTCCACATGAATTTTAAGATAATTTTTTCTAGTTCTGTAAAGTATGTCGTTGGTAATTTGATAGGAATAGCATTGAATCTCTAAATTGCTTTAGGAAATATAGCCATTTTAATGATATTAATTCTTTCTATTTATGAGCATGGGATGTTTTTTCATTTGCTTGTGTCTTTTCTAATTTTTTTGAGCAGTGTTTTATAATTCTCTTTGTAGAGATCATCTTGCACCTCTCTGGTTAGCTATATTGCTAAGTATTTTATTCTTTTTGTGAAAATTGTGAATGAAATTGCCTTTCTGATTTGGCTCTTGGTTCAGCTGTTGTTGGGGTATAGGAATGCTAGTAATTTTTGTATATTGATTTTGTATCCTGCAACTTGGCTGAAGTTGTTCATCAGCTAGAGGAGCTTTTGAGCTGAGACTATGGGGTTTTCTAGATACAGCATCATGTTGTCTGCAAACAGAGATAGTTTGACTTCCTATCTTCCTATTTGTGTGCACTTTATTTCTTTCTGTTGCCTGATTGCTCTGGTCAGGACTTCCAATACTATGTAGAATAGAATTGGTGAGAGAGGGCATACTTGGTGCAAGTTTTCAAGGGGACTGCTTCCATCTTTTGCCCATTCAGTATAATGTTGGCTGTGGGTTTGTCACAGATGTTTCTTATTATTTTGAGGTATGTTTTTTCAATACCTAGTTTATTGAGAGTTTTTAACATGAAGGATGCTGAATTTTATCAAAAACTTTTTCTGCATCTATTGAGATAATCATGTGGTTTTCGTCTTTAGTTCTGTGTATGTGATGAGTCATATCCTAGGGATGAAGCCTACTTAATTGTGGTGGATTAGCTTTCTGATGTGCCACTGCATTCAGTTTGCAAGTATTTTCTTGAGAATTTTTGCATCAATGTTCTTCAAGAATATTGTCCCCAAGTTTTCTTTTTTTATTTTGTCTCTGCCAGATTTTGGTATCAAGATGATTCTGACTTCATAGAATGAGTTCAGGAGGTGTCCCTTTTCCTCATTTTTTTTAGATTAATTTCTTTAGGAATGATACCAGATCTTCTTTGTACATCTTGTAGAATTTAGCTGTGAATCTGTCAGGTCACAGGCATTTTTTTAGTTTGTAGGCTATTTATTACCACTTCAATTTCAGAGTTCATTATTGGTCTATACAGGGAATCAAATCCTTAGTCTTGGGAGGGTATGTGTCCAGTAATTGATCCATCTCTTCTAGGTTTTCTAGTTTGTGTGTGTAGAGGTGTTCATAGTTTCCGATAGTTGTTTTTATTTCTGTGGAATCAGTAGTAACATTCCCTTTGTCACTTCTAATTGTGTTTATTTGGAGCTTCTCACTTTTCTTTATTCATCTAGCTAGTGACCTACTTTATTAATTTTTTTCGAAAAACCAAGTCCTGGATTTATTGATCTTTTGATGGTTTTTCACGTCTTGATTTCCTTCAGCTCAGTTCTGATTTTCGTTATTTCTCATCATGTGCTAGCTTTGGGGTTGATTTGTTCTTGCTTCTCTAATTTTTTTCAGTTGTGAAGTTAGGTTGTTAATTTGAGATCTTTCTGTCTTTTTGATGTGGAAATTTATTGCTATGAATTTCCCCCTTAACACTGCTTTAGCTATGTCCCAGAGCTTCTGGTATGTGGTATCTTTGTTGTCATTATTTTCAAAGAACTTCTTGGTTTCTGCCTAATTTCATTATTTCCCCAAAAGTCATTCAGGAGAGTGTAGTTTAATTTTCAGGTAATTGCATGATTTTGAGTGATTTTCACAGTCTTGACTTCTATTTTTACTGTGCTGTGGTCCAAGAATGTGTTTGGTATGATTTCAGTTCTTTTACATTTGCTAAGGATTGTTTTATGTTCAACTGTGTGGTTGATTTTAGAGTATGTGCAATGTGGAAATGAGAAAACTGTATATTCTGTTGTTTTTCAGTGGAGCATTCTGTAAAGGTCTATCAGATCCAATGTTGAATTGAGGTCCTGAAAATCTTTGTTAATTTGCTGCCTCCATAATCTGTCTAATACTGTCAGTGGAGTGTTGAAGTCTCCCACTATTGTTGTGTGGGAGTCTATGTCTCTTTGTAGGTCTTTAAGAACTTGATTTATGAATCTGGGTGCTCCTGTTTTGGGTGCATATATATTTAGGATAGTTAGGTCTTCTTGTTAAATTGAACTTTTTACCATTATATAATGCCCTGCTTTGTCTTTCTTCATCTTTGTTGGTTTAAAATCTCTTTTGTTTGAAATTAGTATTATAACCCCTCCTTTTTTCTGTTTTCTGTTTGCTTGATAGATTTCCTCCATCCCTTTATTTTGAGCCTATGACTGTCATTATGCATGATATAGGTCTCTTGAAGACAGGATTCCATAGGGTCTTGTTTTTTATCCAACTGGCTACTCTGTGCCTTTAAGGTGGGGGCATTTAGCCCATTTACATTCATGGTTAGTATTGATAGGCATGGATTTCATCCTGTCATTGTGCTGTTAGCTGGTTATTGTGTTGGCTTGTTTGTGTGGTTGCTTTACAGTGATAACTGGTCTGTGTGTTTAAGTGTGTTTTTTTATTTGTTGGTAGTGGCCTTTCTATATTTAGGGTTATTTTCAAGACCTTGTGTAAGGCATTTCTGGTAGTAATGAATCCTCTCAACATTTGCTTATCTGAAAAGGGTCTTATTTCTCCTTCACTTAGGAAGCTTAGTTTGGCTGGATATGAAATTCTTCCTTGAAGACCTTTTTCTTTAAGAATGTTGAACATAGGCCTCTAATGTCTTGTGGCTTGTAGGATTTCAGCTGAGAGGTCCACTGTTAGCCTGATGAGGTTCCCTTTGTAGGTTACCTGTCTTTTCTCTCTAGCTGCCTTTAACATTCTTTCTTTCATTTCAACCCTTGAAAATCTGATGATTATGCATCTCGAGGATGATCTTCTTGGGTAGAATGTTGCAGAAGTTCTCTATACTTCCTGAATTTTACTGTGGGCCCTTCTAGCAAGCCCTTCTAGCTAGAAGGCCCTTCTAGCAAGCCCTTCTAGCTAGAAGGCCCTTCTAGCAACCATCCAGAAGTTTTCATGGATGATATCCTGAAATACATTTTTCAAGTCGTTTGCTTTATCCCCCTCCCTTTCAGGGATGCCAATGATTCAGAGATTTGGCCTCTTTACATAATCCCATACTTCTTGGAGGTTTTGTTCATCCTTTTTACTCTTTTTGCTTTATTTCTGTCTGACTCTCTTATTTCAGAGAAACCATCTTCAAGTTCTGAGATTTTTTCCTCCACTTGGTTTATTCTGCTGTTAATACTTGTGATTACATTGTGAAATTATTGTATTGTGTTATTCAGCTCTATCAGACCCATTACGTTCTCTTTAAAAAAAAAACTGGTTATTTCATCGTTTAGCTCCTCTATCACTTTATTGTCATTTTAATTTTTGTTGGATTGGGTTTTACCATCCTCCTGAATCTCAACTATCTTTGTTCCTATCTATATTCTGAATTCTATTTCTGTCATTGCAGACAGTTCAGCCTGGTTAAGAACTCTTGTTGGAAAACTGGTGCAGTTGTTTGGAGGACATACGACACTCTGGCCATTTGAGTTAAGAGTTAAGAGTTCTTGTGTTGGTTCTTTCCCATCTCTGCCCATGGGTGTTCTTATAACTGCAGTATAGATTGAGTACAGCCAGTAGACTTCATTTCTGCATGTTTTCACAGAGCCATTGCTTTGTGTAGGGTCTTTATTTGAAGCTGACTTCTTGTCTCTGGTTTCAGAGGGGGGTATATTAGTGAGGTATTTTTAGTGTTGAAGCTTGAGATGTGATCCAGCAGATGACACTTAGGCTTATTGGTCAGTTAGTAGACTCTTGCTTTGTTGTGTGGCTCCCCTATGTTTCCTCACCATTGCAGCCATGTTCCCTCTCAATGCTCTGAAAGTGTGGGTTCCTCTTCCACTTGAGTGCTAGCTGTGGATTGTGACTTGGCACTCCTGGGCTGTCCACTGCAGTTCTGCAGCAATCTCAGTGTATATGTTATTTCCTCAACTTGGAAGCTGCAGAGAGAGGGATCTTAGTAGTGGTTGTGGCTAAGGGTCATTTGTTTGTCTCCTTGGAGCTCCACCCAAGAGAGATGAAGGTCAGCAATTGCTCAGTGCGATCAGCACGGGATGAAGGGTCTGTGCTGTGGGCCCAAGACAGGGATTCCCTGTCTAGTGACAAGCAGTGGGAGCTGCATGAGACTCTTGGGAGATAGATTGGCCTCCTCTCCTTGGGTGGACTGCAGCTTGTTGGAGGTGTGGATAAGGCACTTAGGGTCTTTGCTCCTTTGTTAGTCCGAGGGTGGCAAGGGCAGTTTCACTGCAGAGGCAGTGGCAGAGAGGCTTTCAGTTGCTCCCAGAGGCTCTGTCCAAGGAGTTGCTGAGTTGCTACAGGCATGATAGCTTTGTTGGGGGGTGGTTGGAGGCCCAGACCTGGAGGATTTGCCCAGTGAGGAGATATGGGAATGAGTGCCCGTGTAATAGTCTGGCCACTTTTCCATAAAGCTGCTGCAATATGCTTGGAGCCCACTCCGGTCCCTAGTTGTGTTGGATTTTTCAGTACCTGGAGGTACCATCAGCAAAATCTGTAAAACAGTACAGATGGCAGCCTGTCTTTCCTTCTGGGAGCATCATCCCAGGGAGATTACAAATCTTTGTCAGTCTGAGACAACAGACAGGAGTGGCTGGAGGCCCCAGTTGGAAGGTCCCACCCAGTGAGGAGGAAGGCATCAGGCACCCACTTAAAGCAGCAGTCTGGCCACGTTTTGGTAAAGCAGCTGTGCTATGCTGGAGGATCCCTTCTACCCCTGGTTGGCTTGGACTCTCCAAAACCTGAAGGCTGGAATGGGTAAGGTGCCCAAACAGCAAAGATGGCAACCCACCCCTCCTACTGGGATCTCCTTCCTAGGGAAGTTCAATGCCACTACCAGTGGAATTCCAAGCCAGTGGGTCTTATCTTGTGAGGTGTTTCGGAAGTGGGGCTTAAAGGTTGTTGCTGCTTAGCCCCCTGCATTCAGCTTCTTTCCTAGGGGTATGTATGGGGGTTTAACCTCCCACTTTGCCAGAGCTGTAGCTACTTTTACGGGAAAGCCCAAGCATCTAAGGCTTCAGGGTCTCCATGCATTCCTGAGTGGCTGCTCTACTGAGACTCCATATATCTCTGTCTGTCAGACTGAAAGCCCTGGTAGACTAGGTTCAAAAGGAGATCTCCTGGACTGAGGGTAGCAAAGATCCATGGGACAAGAGTGGTTTCCGGGGATCGCACATTCACTCATCACTTCCCTGGGTGAGGGAAGTTCTCCTGGTTCCATGTTTCTCCCAAGTGGGCCATTGTCCTGTTTTGCTTTATTTGTTCTCCATGGGTCAATTGTTTCCTTAATTAGTCCCAGTGTGAGTACCTGTATGTTTCAAGTGAAGGTGTTGTATTTACTCGCGCCTCCCATTTGTCTTTCTGAAAGCCATGCACACTAGCTGCTTCTAGTTGGCCATCTTGACCACTCCCTCCAAAGTACTATTTTAAACAACCAAGCCAAATTGCATTCACACTGATTCTAATTCTGAAAAGCACTGCTCCTGCTCCTTCTCTTCACAGAATAAATGAGAAGACCCTGTGTTTCATTTCAGTTTCCAATACTCTCATGAAAATGGAGAAGTGGGGTTGTCTTGGATGAGAGCAAGCTTGGATTTAATTTCGTTGGTTCTTAGTGGACAGGTCATTGGTGAGTGGTCATAGGGCAACAGGGTGTTTTAATGGATCTGTGGATGTCAGAAAGCACAACTCAGGGCACTCAAATGTTGCATGACTCTTAGTTAATCCACTCTGAAACTATAAATGGCCTTTTGGATTATGTGCCAGAATTGCAAGCAATATTATCTAATTCAGCCTTGTACTTGGGAAAGAGATCAATATTATTAGAACAATTATGTCATAATGGAATTTGAACTTTTTTTCTGATTAGAAGTAGAAGAATAAAAGACTTGATTATGCTCACTCTCACATGCATCTACATGCCCTGTTAGTTTTCACTAACTTAAAGTTAGATTTTCCCCCACTGAGTGGTACACTCCATTCCTGAAACACACAGAGACTAGCAGGAGTTGTTTATGGAAGATGCTGCCTTAATTCTCATAGTTTATCTATGAAAGGATCAAGATTCCAAACCCTTTCCATTATGATTACTGCTCATTATACTAATAAAATATTTCTTGGCCTATGACATGGTCTATAATATCTTGAAAAAATATTTAGATTAGATATCTTTATTGCCTCAAATAAAAATTACATGTTCAGTTTTCTGTATAATTAACCCCAAGTGAATTATTTCCAATATCCAGTTATGAAAATTACATACACCATATCCAACCTTCATATAGTGAACAGGACAATTTGCCTGAAAATGTAATTATATGCATCAAATAAACTAAGTCCCAAGAAAGGCGCATTTGCTTGTCATTTAATTTCCAAATTGTAAGACCATACAATGGCTCATAAAGTTGTTATGCCCATTATCACTGATGATATTATTCATGATGAAACAAATCCCTGAAGTATTTGTTTTTATACTAGTGCTTGTTTGATCATGGCAGTGATTCTGGAGTAATAATTTGAAGTGAAACCCATAAATATGTCTGAGAAAAACTAAGTTGGTAAAAGAGAGCATTATTGAATTTTAAAAGTTGATTTTCTTTTTATGAAGGAAGGGTTTTCTTAAGGGAAAATATATTACATTATGGAACCATTCAAACTGGCATTTACTCTGTGGTCTATAGAGACTTTCTATTTACATCAAATGGAAGACTGACTGGGTCCTCAGCCTTGAGGCTAAATTGTTCTACAGGTTGAACTCCAACTTGTCTCATTACATGATTAATGATACCTGCAGTAAGAGTAATGTACTGTTAGACTGTGGTGTATCTACATAAATAACTTCAATGTTGAAAGTTATAAATTAAGAGAAACAGAATGGTATTTTACGCAAACAGGAAATCACTTTTTAATACTTTTAATAACATAATTTATTATGGATTGACACTTCTACTGTTATTTCCTTTAGGCTATTAAAAAAAGAACTGTTTTTCCACAATAGCCAGGATCTATTTTTTTAAGAAGAAAAAAAGGTTGGGTGGTGGTGTGAATATCACCAGGTAGGTAGTTACCAGAATACATCACATTCCTTTACTGAATCATTTTCTATAAAGAATGAATGCATGGGCTTCAAATGCTGAGGTGATTCCTATGATGATACTGTGCACTTGAAGATGGAAGACAAACTGAAAGGTCATGGGAAAAATCCGGGCCAGCTTTAGGAAGCTGATTTACATTTTTAGCTCAGGTCCTGGGAAGTAATGCTGTAAAGATTTTGAGGGCTATTTTTCTAAGCAGGAGTTTTTCATACAGGAAAATTAATTGATTCTCAAAATTGATCACCTATTAAATGGGTTTTAGGCCACTTGTTTTTAAACTACTAATGCACTTATGGACTTCAATAGATATTTTTAAGTATATAATTCAGTGGCTTTATGTACATGCACCACCTTGTGCAACCACCACCACCATCTGCTTCCAAAACCTTTTCATCATCCAAAACAAACTCTGTTCATTCAGCAATAACTCCCCACTCCTCTCACCAGCCCCTGGTAAACTTTAGTCTACTTTCTGTCTCGTTGAAGTTGCCTATTCTGGATATTTCATATAGGTGGAATCATATGATATCCTTTTGTGTATAGATTATTTTACTAAGCCTAATGTTTTGAAGGCTCAGCCATCCTGTAGCATGTTTCAGAAATTCATTTATTTTTATGACTGAATAATATCCATTGTACATATGTACACATTTAGCGTGTTCATTCAGCTGTTGATGGACTTGGGTTTTGACAAGTTTTGTCATGATAAAAGCAAAAGGTAGGAAATAGTTCAAAAAAATCAAACAGCTATTTTATGAATCTTCTAATAATATAATGCTTAGCTTGTTATGGTTGAGTTTATTTTAATGAATTATATTTAACAT
Source organism: Homo sapiens (assembly GCF_000001405.40). Lineage (NCBI taxonomy): Eukaryota > Metazoa > Chordata > Mammalia > Primates > Hominidae > Homo > Homo sapiens. The sequence goes on along the minus strand of NC_000023.11, from coordinate 35,033,860 downwards.
ATGAGATATAAAATGCAGATTACTTATGAGACTACTGAATATATTATAACCTTCAGAGTACATTAAAGAATGCCTAGATTTTCTGAAAACACACCCAACTTCCAAAATGAGTAGTTTCAGCAAAGTACCCCCTAAGTACATTTATCACATCACCATTCATTCATGATTTTTCTGGTCTACATAAAGGAACCAGTCAATAAACTAAAATATCAAAACAACCCCACCAGTCGCTACTGCTCACCATATTACTAAATCCTATGGCAAATTATTAATCCGTATCTTACTTGAAATATCAGCACCTTTAAAATAGCTGATTATTTGCCTTTTGTGTAAATACTTTCTTCATTTTTTTGTGTATGTTGTTTTATCTTCCTCTCTCTGAACTTTTTTTTTTAACATTGAAGTACCCTTGGGATCAGTCCAGAGCCTTCTCATCACTTCATTCATCCCTTTGCTGATGTAATTTCAACATGAGTTCTGAATACCATCAGCATTATAATGAATCCTTAATCGTAGCTCCAATATGGGCAATTTCTCTTTCCTGCAGACTCTCAATGTTAATTGCCTATTTGATGATTCCCTGTTTGGATAGCTAATAGACATTTTTAATGTAACATATCTGAAACTGAATTCTTAGTGTCCACCTATAAACCTGCTTTTTCATCATCTTAATTAATGCCAATTCCATCCTTCCAGTTTCTTCGACCACATTACTTGAGGTTATCCCTAATGTCTCTCATTCTATTATTTCCATTTTCAATCTATTTAGAAAATTCTGTTTCTTCTACTTATGAAATATATCCAAAATCAGATAAATTATTACTTCTATCACAATTGCTTCATTTTTCATCACTGTTGTTTCTCGCTCACATTACTGTAGGAGACTTCCTGCTGTTCTCCTTGTTTCCACTCTTGCTCCTCAGCTGTCTGGTCACAACATAGCAGCCAGAATGATCATATTGAAAGTCCTTTGGATCATGTTATTTATTTGCATAAAACCTATTAATGGCTCCACATTTCTCTGAGAGTAAAAGCTCAAACATTTAAAATGTTTAACAAGGCCCTATATAATCTGGTCCCTCTCTAACCTTGTTTCCCAATTTTCCACTAACATCCTTTCTGTTCTCATTGGTCAAGCTATAATGTCTTCTTCAAACAACTCAGATAAGCTCTTGCGTCAAGATTTGGCACTAGCTGTTCCTTCTGTCTGAAATGCTTTTCTTCTATGTATTGTGTGGCTAAATTTACTGTCTTCTTGGCAGAGGTGCTGCCTTTCAGTGTGAAGGTGGTGCTTTGCAACAGAGCACCTGGCTGAGAGGAACATGGGTACAGAATCCATGGCCCCAGTACACGCCTTTGCATTTGTGGGCCAGCATGGATTCTGCTCCTTATTTATTTATTCTTTCATTCATTTTATTTTTCAAATAAATTTTATTGTATATATTTGAGGTTTACAACATGATGTTATGGGATACATATAGATAGTACAATGATTACTATAGTAAGGCAAATTAATATATCTATCATCTCACATATAAGATGCATCCTGATCAGCCTTAGAAGTCCTAGTTTTTCCTACTGTATTAACCATGTTTCTTAAAATTTTCTCTATTCTGATGCTTTGATATATGGAACCTTGCTGACCCTGGAAAGACTGTTCCTCCCAGGGTTTGCCAATTCCTAGAAATAGTACACAACTCACCTATGAGGACACTTTTCAAATACAAGCCAAGTGATCCAGAACCCACAATCCTACCACCGACCTTTTCAGGCTATTACACTCTGGGCTACTTATCTTCTCTACTCACCCCAGGGACCGCTACCAGACATGTAGGGACAGCACCTACAACACCTAACTTATTAAATTATTCAAACTAACCAATCCTAAATCTGCTTACTGTGTTTTGCCCGTTTCTTCTTGCAGTAGCCACAATAAAGACTCTTGCACATGCTTCTTTCTCTCTCTCCTCTGCCTCTTGACTGACCCTGTTATTTCTCCCTCCCCACACCCATAGTATTTCATGCCTCTTTCTTTTGGGAACTGTAAGGGATAAACTATCTTTTTCAGTGATAAGCACCTGCCGATCTGTTGGCCTTACTATAGCTCAAATTTGCTATTAATATACTGTATTTTCAAATACACAATTCTAATTTAAGCTTATATAATCCTCTAACATACATATCTTTCTCTTATTTGTTATCTATCTTCTCCATTTGATTAATAGAAATAGGAATATTTGTCTGTTTTCCTCACTGATGTATCTCCCACTGCCTAGAATGGTATGTAGCACACAGTAGGTATCCAATAAATATTTATGAATGAACAAATAAATAAATAGTCGAATCTAAGAGTCAATTTACATATTTTTCAAAAACACACATAATGCTTTTAAATAATTTTAATGAACTCTAAAGTCGCTAAAAAAAGCAAGGCATCTAAATGAGCAAAATCAAATTTAAAAAAATTAAAACACCTTTAAGTATGTGTATTTTCAGAAGATATCAATGTTTATGTAATATTCTTTCCATTGAGATACATTTGTTGATCTGCCTATAGTAGATGTCCAATAAACATTATATATACCTACACATGTTATGCATATTATTTATGGCTTATCCTTACCCTTATTACCTGTCAAATGAATCTCAAAATATTCAGGTAGTAGGTAAAAAATAGAACCCCAAGTTATTCAGGCAGCATTACAGCATGCAGAGATACCTTAATTTCAGGGAAATTGGATCCCTTTCTCTTCAGTGGATGGGCATAGATGGCAGTATGGGATGGAGGAAGTGGGTAAGATGCAAACAGCCCCTGGCTAAAATACCACAAATTTTCATTGTCCTTACCGAGAATTAATACTTTTTTTTTTTTTTTCAGACAGAGTCTCACTCTGATGCCCAGGCTGGAGTGCAGTGGCATGATCTTGACTCACTGCAACCTCTGCCTCCCGAGTTCAAGCGATTCTCCTGCCTCAGCCTCCCGAGTAGCTGGGACTACGGTCATGCACCACCACTTTTGGCTAATTTTTTTGTATTTTTAGTAAAGACAGGATTTCACCATGTTGGTCAGGCTAGTCTCAAACACCTGACCTCAAATGATCCACCCACCTCAGCCTCCCAAAATGCTGGGATTACAGGCGTGAGCCACTGTGCCCAGCCACCAAGGTTTAATAAGTTTTCATAATTGCTTCTCAATTTTTAATGTGTCTTTATCCATTTCCAATTTCTTTATATGGTGGTTTTTACAAATTGGTTTAATATTATATTTATTTCTGGGGGGGTATTTTCTGAGTTCTTCACTCAGGCATTTCAGAAATCCCACTCTCCTAATGTTGGAGTTTTACACATCTTTGACATATAGTGTGAGTGAGCCAGCTCCATGTAAAGGGGAAGGGTTGGTATAAAAGATGGTATAGGTAATGCTCAGCTAGGATTGTAGCAGGATAACAATATGATACACCCTGTAGAAATGCCTTGGCTGGTTGAATTGGCAGGACATTATTGACTCGATTGAATTTGATACATGAAAAAAAGGGAAAGTTTCAGCCTTGCCTCTGAGATTAAGAAATAGAAATAGGCATAGGATCAAGTTTGGAGAGGATAATTTGAAGGTTTCATGCCATACGTAGGAGGATACGCCAAGCAGATAACTGAAAATGTGTGCATTTTCACATGAAGGGCAAAAAATAAAGTACATTATAATTTTAACATTACCTAGAGATACTGTCCGAGATGTAAAATGTCTACAAATCTCTAAACTTGTATATATCTTAGTAACAAGGAGTAATTAGGAGTTATTCAGTAAATAATGCTGAGTACAGGACAAAAGAAACATTCTCTTAAGATATAACTATGTGGCAGAATTCTGGGCTCCTTATGTGTGTCTAGCTCCTGTTCTGCTGTACTCAGTATTCATATTCCTACTTTAGTAAAATTATAATTATTTCTCATCATGGACATTTGTATAAATCTCAAATAGTTTAAGCATGAGTCTCAACAGCCATGACACTTAGTCACTAGGGAGCCAAAGTGTTTCATACACTCTGGTCAATAATTCATTCAGTCCCCCTAGGTCCTCAGTCTCCCTGATCTCTGCATATTCTTCCCCTGACCCTTTTCCTTCCCTACCATCTCTTTAATATCTACTATTTGACCATTAAACAATTAAATATAGAAATATAACTTGAAATATGACATTAAACAAATTGTAAAAGTTTTTTAACTCCATCTATATGTGAAGAAACTATCAACTCCACTTGATTTTGTGCCATGTTCTTGTTTCCTCTTATTTCTTAGAGTACAGAGCCTCTTAGTTATCATTATTATGTTTTTAAACACAGAAAACTCAGGGACATATAGTTAATGAAAATTTTTTTATGGTAATGAATATTGTTATCAATGTGTCTTGGAAAATGAATTGATAATGTCTAAAATATAAATGAATTTCTCTCTTTTGAAAATAAAGTTGACCTTTGAACCATACAGATTTGAACTGTGTGAGTCCACTTACACACAGATTTTTTTATGCCTCTGCCACTCCTGAGACAGCAAGATCCACCCCTTCTCTTCCTCCCCCTCAGTCTATTCAACGTAAAGACAATGGGGATGAAGACTTTTGTGATGATCCACTTCCACTTAATGAATAGTAAATACATTTTCTCTTCCTTATGATTTCCTTAATAACATTTTCTTTTCTCTAGCTTACTTTAAGAATGCAGTATATAATCATATCACACACAAAACACCTGTTGACCTCATGTTATTGATAAGGCATCTGGTCAACAGTAGGCTATAAGCAGCTAAAATTTTGGGGAGTCAAAAGTCATACTGAGATTTTTTTTACAGCACAGGGGGTCGGCACCCCTATCTCTGATTTGTTCATGATTCAACTGTATTTTATTTCTCTTTATTCTAAAGATATTTTTATAAGGCATGATATGGCTTGGCTCTGTGTCTCCACCCCAATCTCATCTGGAATTGTAATCCCCCTGTGTCTGAGGGAGGTACCTGGTAGGAGGTGATTGTGTCATGGGGGCAATTTCCCCCATGCTGTTCTCATTATAGTGAGGGAGCTGTCATGGGATCTGATGGTATTAAAAGTGGCAGTTTCCCCTGCATGCTCTCTCTCTCCTGCCGCCTTGTGAAGAAGGTGCCTGCTTCCCCTTTGCTTTCCACCATGATTGTAAGTTTCTTAAGGCCTCCCCAGACATGCAGAACTATGAGTCAATTAAACCTATTTTGTTGATAAATTATCCAGTCTCAGGTAATATCTTTATAGCAGTCTGAAAATGGACTAATGTGGGGCACCAACTAACAATACCCATAGAAAGTTACCATTGTTTTTCCAGGATTTTTACTGGTTTTACTAGTTTACTATATTTGCCTTGGGTGCCATGAGGTATTCATAGATTATGACCATTCCATTCTAATTCCTTTTATTATTGCAGTTATTTCAAAAGATGTGTGTATGTGTGTGTCTGTGTGTGATCTGAGTGTTTCTGAAATTTTATATGTTATGTATTGTATGTGATTATATATAGCCTTAGTGAAGCCTGGTTTCAAGCCAGAATTCTGTGTTTTGTTTTCAGAAACCAAATCCCATATTATGACCTTGGACATGAGGATCTGCATGAGTGTATCATATCCTTCATAAAACAGTGCTTAATTTCTCATCAATATGATGCAGTGAGCTGAATTTTGACATATGTCTCTATTCCAAGGAGATAGTACTTGATAAATCGTAAAAATAGAAAAAAGAAGTTGTATAGCCAGTCTAAAAGTAACAAGATAAAAATCATCAAGGATCATAAAGAGAAGAGTAAAACAGTTTTACTGCCTTTTTAGTTTTTTTTCAGTTTCTATGAGGTAAATCAGGTAAGTCCTCTTTGTATTTGGGGGAATGGGAGCACTTTTCACATTCCATGCGTGAATTCTAAGGCTGAGAGGTGTTTTCTCCACTTTTGAAAGAAGACTGAAACATTCTTGTGGAGTCATTGTTTGTCCAACAAAATCCCACGCTGATGAACTGCATAAAGTTTCCAGTTGACAGAGATAGGATTTACAATACCCCCAAGATCATAGCAGGAATGGAAACCAGAGATGACCATGTCCAATATAGTTCTGGAGGAGGCAGTAGGGGAAGGGGCTTCTAGAAGCCTGTGGACCAGGTAGAAATAATTGTAAAATCTCTACATAGGAGAAGACTACATAGAGAGGGGATGAATTACTTTGTACTGTGGGTATAACAAATTACCACAAATTTAGCAGCTTAAATTTATTTATTTTTAATGTATTATATTTCTGTAGATGAGAAGTCTGAAGAGGCTCAAATGGCTTATTTGCTTAGGGTCTTATAAGTCAAAAATCAAAATCCCAAGCTGGGTTGGGATCTTATCTGGAGAGTCTGAGGGAGAATCTGCTTTTCAACCTCATTCAGATTGTTGGAGAAATTAAGTTCTGTTTGGTTGTAGCACTGAAGTACCCTTTTGCTGTTTGGATATCAGCTAGGGAGTCATTCTCAGATTCTAGAAGCCCATTGCATTACATGGCTCTTGACCCATACCATTTACAAGGCTAAGAATGGTTTGTTGAATTATCTTCATGCTTCAACTCTCTCTGAATTTTTCTCCTGCCTTCTCTTTTGCCACCAGCTGAAGAAAATCCTCTGCTTTTAAAGGCTCATGTAATTACATTAGGCCAACCTAGATCATTTCTTTTTTAAAGGGGACCTATGCCACATAACATAACACAAGCATAGGAGTGACATCTCATAATATTCGCAGGTTTCAAGAAATATAGCCTGGAATCTTGGGGCTGTATTTGTTTCCTGTAGGTGCTATAACAAATTATCACAAATGTGGTGCCTGAAAACAAGAAAACTTTACTCTGTCACATGTCTAGAGGCTACAAGTCTGAAATCAAGGTAGGTATTTCTAGGCTAATACTCTCCCTAGAGGCTCCAGAAGAAAAAAACAGTCCTGGCTTCTTCCAGTTTGCAATGGCTGTTGGCCTTCCTTGGCATTCTAAAATTCTAATCATTGCATAGATGGAACTGGATGTGGGATGTGAAAAGGGCAAAAAGTCCTCCCTCAAAAGTTCAGTGGTGAAACTCTATACAGGATGTGAACAAAGAGAACAGGAGAATCTTTACAGCACTAGTACTGAGGTATAACTGGACAGGACATAAGAATGAGGCAGAAAAGAAGTCCCAAACTCTCAGTTCAGTGCTGTATCTAAGCAGCATTATGTAGATGGGGCAAAGAGGAGGTACCCTGCACCATCAGCACCGTGATTATATGGCAAGGTGGACAGAACAAGAAGCAGCATGCCCAAAGCACCAGCACAGTGTTGTAGCTGGTTTGTACTTGGGTTGGCAACGTAAACAAGATCAAGGAAAGCAGCATTGGTGTCATGGTGTAAATGCAAAGTGGATCTGAATGAGCAAGGGAGGATCCTCCCACCATTAATACTGTGGTGTGCACAGACAGGGCATGTGAGAGGGGTGAAAGGGCAGGAGGGAGTCCCCATCTCTTCAATGCTATTGTATTACTGGGTTCAGAATCTGAACAGAGTGAAGAGGAGAATCCCAACCCTATCAGGGGACTCATTAAATGGAAAGGGAAATCGAAGCTGTGAGGATGGGAAAACCTACATCATCTAGGCCATTGTGTAAGTGAATAGAGAGGGTGAAAGGAGTAAACAGGTCTTCACACTGTCAATGTATGCTGTGCTAGGCCAGAGGAGGAAAACAGAGCAGAGATGAACATATCCATACTATCATTGTAATCATGTAACCAGGGCAAAGAAGATGAGACTTGACTCATGAATTCAATGACGTAACTGCACAGGGGAGGTAAAAGGCCTGAGGAGGTAGAACCTGCACAACCACTGCAGTCGAGTAACTGCACAGAAGCCAAGGAAGAGGCAAACAGAAGTGCAGAGCATCAGGGCTATGGTGTAACCTGGGAAAGGATGTGACAATGTAGAGGAGCAGCCCTCAGACATCATTGCAGGGGTCCAGTTTGACAGGGGACAATTACAGGGCAAATAAGAGGGCCCCCAACATTAGTGCAGTGGAGTAACTGGGCAGAAACCTAATGCACTGCTGTGCCTGACTCAGCATTCCTGCCTCTATACTATTTGGGGGCAGCCTGAGGTGGATTTGATACAGGCAATGCAATCGCTTCCTGAGTCAACAAGAATTGGAGTGCCACTCTATAATGCCCTAGGAGAATTACAAGTGTGCCTTCAAGATGCCATGATTTATAGTCACAGCGTCATTAAACATTTCATCTGAGAGCCTGGTCTGCTTTCCAGGGTGTGAGGTGACCTGCCAGACACTACCAAGATAGTGGAAAACCAATTCTCCTGCCATCCTGCTCAGAGCCTGTCTTGTGTTTCTCTGCTAATATATATCACTGAAAACTATGAAAGCAGAGGTCCTAAATCTTCAGACATTGTAGTTGTCTAAGATATATATGCTTGTATAAATATGCAAAATGGTTACACTCCAGAATACTAGATGACTAAAGCAGGAACCAAGTCAATGACCCAAATCCAGCCCAGATCATAGTGACTAAATGTCATCATGGACTGTCTGGCAGCCTTGACAAATTGAGTTTCAGCAGCAAAAAGAATGGTTCACAAAACAACCTTTGCAACAATTGGCACCATATTGACAGTTTCTATTCCTATGGCCAGGAAATCAATGACCTGTGAACACTGAATGATCCTCTTACCCTTGGAAGTGATCCCTGCAGGCCAACCTGCAGGATGTTAGAGGAATGGCTTGCAAGAACACACACCAATCCTGGCTGCTTCTCCTTCTGCTCTGGGAGCAGAGGGGCTGCCCTGGATTCAAGGTTGTGGACCTGACATTGGAAAGAATTATCTTGTTTACCACAGAGCCATCTACATCGCCAGTTGAGTTTCTCACTACATCACTGTGCTATGTTAAATGTGTCCAGCTTAAAATAAATTGAAAAAGATATGCTACATCAATGTGTATAGGTGTAAACTCTAAACTTTTAATTTATTTATTTGGGGTGGGGGCATGGTGCTCATGAAGAAAGAAGAGGAACTAAGTTTAGGGGACAGAGTGGGGTAACCTTGAGACATATAGTCAGGGTTCAGCAAGGCCACCATACACAATGAGGTTTGTTCATTGCAAAAAGTGCCCAGTCATGGAGGTGTGGGGTTGCTAAAATCCAGCCCATATCCCCCTCTCCAACATCAACACCCCTTGCTGTGTCTGCAGGGTGGGGCACTTCTGTCTGAGTTCTCTTCTCACAAGGGGGAAACATTTTTTATAGAGTGGGGTGGGGGCTTTTTTAGTTCATTCTCCTAAAGACAGTACATTTTCATTCTGAGGAGCTGTCTTTTTCTCATTCGTTTCCCCAGAGAATCTTTTATTTCTTATAAACTCTTCCTCCTGAGAGCCTTTCCTTTTCACAATGAAGCCAGCCACCTACTCACCCAGTCTGACAACAGAGAATGCTTTCTTTAATTCACACAAAGATGCCATCTAAGTTGCTGGTGACCTGGAGTCTGTGGCACCAAGGGGAACTCCTGATGCAGGGATGCTCATTCACTCTGGCCTGTACCAGACTAGTTAATAAACTGAGGCTGCTCTGGGATACCTACATGCTCTACAGGAGCCCTCCACTGCCCCTGTTACCCTTGTCCCTTCTCCAGGACCTAGTAACCACAGAGTTAGTGTCTCACACAGCTGGGACCCTGAATCAAGCTCTGCCTATTGGTCAGTGTTTGCACCGTATTTGTTGTGAAGTACTTCTAATAACATTCTTGATAACAAGCTCTGGAACCCCCATCAATTTCTGAGCCCCATGAACCCCATTCCCATCTCCTAGGATATTTTGTTCACTGTCCAGTCTTGGACTCCATGACTATTTGAATGTCTACAACTATTCTCCCTCTCTCTGGATTCCTAAGCCACAGACATCCCTGAGAGGCAGCCATGGCAGTTGTCCAGGAGAGGCACTGCCAGGCTGCCAAAGAAACTTTGCTGAAGAAACCAGCCCCTCCCTGAAAGCCTGTGCTATCTCTCAGGAGCTATGAGAAAAAGTAAAAGTCTCAATGGAAGGGAATACAGTTAAGGTGTTAATGAATGAAGATGGTCACACTTTTTGAAAGCAGGCTATCAGCAGCCCTTTTACCTGCCAATGTATCACTGCCCTGCTGAGTCTATCTGAGGTATTCCCTCTGCACCTGAGGACATGATTCTTACACTTTGCTGCTGAACACAAGGCAATTCTTGGATGAGGTCTTTGGTTTTAGAATAATTTACTATGATTTGGATATGTTGAAAATTTGGTGCACTGTGATCACTCAGCCACTGGCTTCTGTGCACTCCCTTCCTCTCTTGTTGCAACACAGTTCTCTGTAAATCACACCTAATTTTAAATACTGAGCATATGGTCTGTTATGACAACAAGATTAGCCCAAGAGCTGAAAGAAGAAACATTCCCAAAATGCCTTTTATATCCAACAACCACCTGTGGTAGGAAGAAAAGATAGAGACATTTCCAACTCTGGGTACAGAATCTCAACCACAAAGACAGAGGCTGTTGAAGACTAAGCTCTGATTTTTTTCTTTTTATCTTGTCCAAATTCCTATCTAAGGGATCTGGGGAGTCATGCTTTACAAACCATAGATTCTCATCAGATGGGTTTTTTTTTTTTAACCCTATATATCATGACTTACTTTCCAACCTGACTCCGGCATAACACTATTAGACAAGGAAGAAAATCAGAATGTTTTACCTCCAAACATGTTTCTTCGCCATATCTTGAAATGTCCATGCAAAGGGAGAAAATTTACATCTGTAAAGAATCTCTATTAACATAGCTAGGTCTTTTTCTTCCAGGCCCTCTCAATCTTAAAGAGATTAAATACAAGTCTTACACCTTTTAAAGATCTGAATAGGAAAATTTGTCATCTATTGTCTCTAAAGGCAGTCACTGTAAGACTTCCAAAGAACCTTGGTCTCCACAATCTTTTATCTTAACCTGAACATTTCCTTTCTATTGATCCCAGGTCTTCAGACAAACTCAACCAATTGTCAGTCAGAAAACGTTTACATTTACCTATAGCCTGGAAAACCCCCCACTTTGAGCTGCCCCATCTTTCTGGACCAAACCAATGCATTTCTTTAATATATTTGATTGATGTCTCATTCCTCCCTAAAATGCAAAAAACCTAACTGCACCCCAACCACCTCGGGCACATCTTCTCAGGACCTCCTGAGGGTTGTGTCACGGGCCATGGTCACTCATATTTGGCTCAGAATAAATCTCTTCAAATATTTTACAGAATTTGACTCTTTTCATTGACACTGGCATGGCTCTTCATCCTCCCATTATAAGTTGTCCTCACCAAGGTCCTCAGGCCTTGACTCTCTATGCTGCTTTTGTGAGAACAGCTGTTGATCTGTCCACTCCCAGGCCCTCTGAAATACCAACCACTAACACATGGACTCTTCTGCTGAAATCTGTCCTGGTTGCTTGTAGCAGATCCTTTTGATGCTCCATCCACGTCTCCATCCACGTCTCCATCCCCTGGTGCCTTACCACTGCAATGCAAGCTCTGGGACTTCCAACTGCCTAGGGACGTTTCTCGACAACCAAAATCCACCCTGCCCACACAGGGCAGCTGTGAGAGCCAGAGGATTAATGTCCTGGAAGGCAGCATTCAATCAATGACTGATGGAAACTGGTGTCTAAATAGTCTTATTCCTTTGCCCATGAGAAGAGAGAACTCTGAGGTGCATGTACTACACTGACACCCAGAGTTTCCCGGTGGGATCGGGATTAAGCTCCAGTAATCAATCCACAGTGGGGACTTGCCTGATAGTTTACCTTCTACCCGTGGTTTCCCTTTTTTTGTCTTGCTCCTGGCTCTTGTGTTTAGTTGTAACTACTGTACTTCAGTCCTGTCTCAGGTCTGCTTCTAGGGCATCCAAATGCAGACATAGCTTCACTGTCCTCATCCAGTGTTAGATAATTGGCCCTCCTAGTCATTACTTTAAATTATCTCTAAATTATTTATTATGCCTAATATAATGTAGATATTAAGTAGATAGTTGTTATATGGTATTTTTTGTTTTATTTTTATTGTTGTATTGTTAATTTTTATTTATTATTTAATATTTTTAACCTGGAGTTGGTTAAATCCATGGATGTGGGGCCCACATATATGGAGGGCTGACTGTACATGGTAAACCCTAGAGGAACCATAAAAAAAAAAAGAAACATTAAAAACATAGCAAAAAGAATTATCAAATAAAAAATATGATAATTGGAAAATATTTACTTAATGTGAAAGAAAGCAGTAAAGGAGGAATGCAGGAATAAAAAGATATGAGACATATAGAAAATTAAAAACAATAAAATGGCAAGCATAAATCTAACTAGGTCAGCAATAACATTAAATGTAAATGAATTAAACAATCAAATAAAAAGGCAGAAATTATCTGTCTAAATTTTAAAAACATGAGGTGACTATATGTTGTCTATAGGAGTCATACTTTAGATTCAAAAGACACAAATATTTTAAAAATAGGCCAGGCATGGTGGCTCACACCTGTAATCCCAGCACTTTGGGAGGCTGAGACGGGCAGATCACGAGGTCAGGAGATCGAGACCATCCTGGCTAACACAGTGAAACCCCGTCTCTACTAAAAATACAAAAAAAAAAAAAAAAAAATTAGCCAGATGTGGTGGCGGGCACCTGTAGTCCCAGCTACTCGGGAGGCTGAGGCAGGAGAATGGCGTGAACCCAGGAGGCGGAGCTTGCAGTGAGCCGAGATCACGCCACTGCACTCCAGCCTGGGCGACAGAGCGAGACTCCGTCTCCAAAAAAAAATAAAAAAATAAATAAAAATACAATAAAATAAAATAAAATAAAATAAAGGGATGGAGGTACGGAAAAGATATAGCATACAAATAGTAACCACATGAATGCAGGAGTGGCTATACTAATGTAAGGCAAAACAAACTTTAAAATAAAAAATTATTATTAGAAGTAATGAAAGACATTTATAAAAACAAACATATCAATTCCTCAGGAAGATATAACAATTATAAATATATATCCCTAACAAAATCTCAGATGACATCTTTGCAGAAATTGACAAGCTGACTTTAAAATTAATATGGAATTGCAAGAAACACAAAAGAGCCAAAATAATTCCGAAAAATAAGAATAAAGTAAGAGTAATCACTCTCCTCAATTTCAAAACATACTACAAAGCAGTGGTAATCAAGACAATGTGGTACTGGCACAAGGAAAAACATATAGATGAATGCAGTAGAATGGGAGCTTCAGAAATAAACTTATACATCTGTGGTCAACTGATTTTCAACAAGGATGCCAAGACCATTTAATGAGTAAAAGAAGAGTCTTTAAGCAAATGGTGCTGGGGCAAGCAGATATCCACAAGTAAAAATGAAGTTGAACCCTTACTTCATATTATATAAAAAACATTAACTCAAATTGTTCTAATATCTAAGTCTGAGAGATCAAATTATAAAACTCTTAGAAAAAACTTTGTAACCTTTTATGTGGCAAAGAATTCTTAGATACAACACCAAAAGCATCAGCAATAAAAGAAAAAAAGAAATAGAAAAATTTTCTTATAAAAATTAAAACATTCATGCTTCAAAGGACACCATCAAGAAAGTGAAAAAGTAACCCACAAAATGGGAAAAAATGTGTATATCATATATCTGATGTTATTATACATAGATTATCACATATTATACCTAGAAGATATAAATAATTCTTAGAACACAGTACTGAGTACTGAATAGACTAATAACACAATGGCCCAAATGAGATTTTTCTTTTGAGAAAAATCTCCACAGATATTTCTCCAAAGAAGACACACCAGTAGGCCAATAAGCACATGAAAATATGTTCAGCATAATTATTCATCAAAGAGATGCAAATGCAAACTATAATGACATACCACCTCACAACCACAAGGATGACTGAAACCAAAAGTCAGACATCAAGTATTGGAGAAGATGTAAAGAAACCAGAACACTTATCCACTGCTGGTAAGAAAATAGAATGGTGCAGACACTTTGGAAAACAGTATGGCAGTTCCTCAAACAATTAAACATTAAGTTACCGTAGGACCCAGCAATTCTGTTGCTAGGCATGTACCCAAGAGAAATAAAAAATAAATATATATCCATACAAAAGTGTGTACAGAAATGTTTATAGCAACACTATTCATAATAGCCAAGAGGTGAAAACAGCCCAAAGGTTCATCATCTAATCAATGGATAAATAAAATGTGGTATAGACATAAAATTGAATATTGTTAAATCACAAAAATGAAGTATAGAGACATGATACAACATGGATAAATGTTGAAAACGTTATACTAAGTGTAAAATGCCAGTCACGAAAAACTACTACATATTATATAAGTGCATTCGTAGGAAAGCCCAGAATAGGAAAGTATATAGAAAACTGAAGTAGATTAGTGGTTCCTTAAGGCTGAAGAGTGTGGAGTGGCAGTAGCAGGAGAAAGTGGGAGTGATTACTAAAAAGTCGGTTTTTGAAGTGACGAACATGTTCTAAAATTGTACTAATGGCTGTGCCTGTTTGTGAGTTCATTAAATATTATTGAGTTAACACTTTAAATGAATGAAGTACATGGCGTGTGAATTATATCTCAGTAAATCTGTTTGTAAAAAAATGGATGATTTGAATGTATTCTGAATGTAAAAATTATTGCTGGAAAATGAGGCACTAGTAAGAATGGAAGAAAGAATTATCTTCAGGTATCAACATCATATATAGAATCAGAAAACTTGGTTTCAAATGTAAGCTCAGCCCCTTATTACTTCTATGGCCTTGGATAAAACATGAACCTTCTTGCGGCTCATTATTTTCATCTACAAAATGGAAATAATAATGCAAGCAAGAGGTTGTTTCAACAACAAAATGCAGAGAACCAATCCAGTTCATCAACAGTAAATAAATATATAAAAATAACTGTGAAGAAATATATAAAAAGACTACTTTTTATACTACTTGCTTGATTCCTCAGATGTCCTCAGGACAAGGGAGGGACTGAGTGTCAGTGTTTTTTGAAGATATTTTTAAAATGCTTTCTATAATGCAAATGTGAACTCTTTCGTTTACATCTTAGGAGAAAAACATGGAGTATTTCCCTTTCTGAAGATGCCCTAGTGCAGGCTATCATCTAACTCCATTCTTCGCTCCAAAGCACAATATATGTGATATTTGGGTATATACAACACGCCTTGTTCATCTTTTCACTCTCACAGCCTGTTTTTCAGGATCCACGGCAGAAAATTCTCCTAGACCAGTTAAACCAAAGAGATGGATGTGAGCATTGCATGAAAACAGTGGTGCTTGCTGTCTTCAGATATGGCTGAATTCCTTTCTGATTGGGGGGCTTGAATTATATCATTAAGACTCATTTCTCTGTTCTCCATATCTCAGCTTTGCTCTTCTCTTTCTTGCATTTATTCCTAGACCAGTTTTCCCATGTGGAAACAAAGATGCTGCTCTAAACACATAGTGTTCTTACAGCTAGCAATTCTGGACACGAAAAAGCCCCTTTTCCCTACTAGATGTATCAAGAGTTGTGGAGAGGGATCTGATTAACTGGGCTGGGTCACTACCTGCCAAACTTTGACCCAGTCGTGTGTGTGTGTGTGTGTGTGGTGTGTGTGTGTGTGTGAACACTCCTCCCTTGAGGAAAAAAACAGCAGAAGTTCAGGTGGTTAGAGCTCAGAATCTGGAGTCAGGTCAGCTAGGTTCAAATTCTGAACTTAGCTTAAAAGCTGGGTGATCTTGAACAAATTACTCCAGCACTCCTAGGCCCCAATTCCTAAATATTAGTATGAGCATAATAAAAGCACCTACTTTAGTGAATTTTTAAAATATAAATGAATTAATTCATGTGATGAATGTAGGACAATGCTAGACATACAGTAAGCAGCAGTTATTACTGTAATTTTAAAGACAAATACGGTCATAAGAAAATGATGGCATGCTCCTGAGAATTGACTGCAAAACTGCTCCTTTCACTGAGCCTCTTTGTTGCCCCAAAATCATTATTACTATTATTATAAGCACTTGGTAGTAATTCTTTGGTAAGTATGAATGGCACCAAAAAGCTAAAGCAGAGTGAGAAAGCAAGAGCAATAGCAACAGCCAGAGCAAGAGAGAGATGGAAGATTTTCACCTAAATTCTGATAATCCCAGTGCAAGAGAGGAAAAAAGCTAGAAACTGCAATCAGGGGACCTGGATGCACCAATCATAGTGTCTGCAGCTCTGCCTCCAGCCGTGATATTCTGACCTCTGCATCTTTACATTCTTCATGCTTCATTTTCTGATTTGTTCATGAGGCAGAGCCTCTGTGTCTCATCAATTAAAACAGGCATCCAAATCCACAGCTGTGAGTCTCTCATGACTCCTGATTTCAATGCATTGCCTTTTTATCTTATAGTAAATGTCAGTTTTCATCAACTCAAACGTCCTCATGACATAATATGACTTGAAAATATGCAAATACCTTCTTACCAGATACTTCTAATTAGATGGAGGCCTTGTGTGGGAGGTACTCCTTCATTAGTTCTGAGGTAATCAAAACAAATCACACTTGATTACATGCTATAAATTCACTCCAGGAGGCTCAGGGCCAGCGTTAACTGCCACAGGACTTCAGGGAGGCATGCAACCAGCTTTTCTTTTCATGAAAGACACTTCTCTCAGGTTCTAAAAATCATCTCCCTCTTTATATTCCCAATTTGCAGAAGGAACGTTGCTATGCATTATAAGTGGACCACCAGCCAGGCTAAGAACAAATGCCTCACAGTTCTAAAGATACTCAATAGTCAAACCTCAAAGCAAGCACACAGGTGTCAGGCGGCTTTAATCAGAAATCACTGGGAAATATCACAAGTACAGGCATTATGGTTAAAGGGAACTTGTTAACGAGTGGGGAAGTGATAATGATGGTGTCTGGCTTTTGTATATAAGCAAGAACTTCAGTGCTACTAACTAAATTAAAGAGAAATCCCTTATGAGCTACTCTAGGTATAAATCTATTTTTAGACATTTTAACCTATCAATTTTTGTGGCCATTTTAAGTTACTGACTTAGTTTGATTCACAAATGTTAAAACTTCCTGTTCTTATATCTGACAGGGTTTCAGTTAAGCCACATCTCCGGATTGATAGCAAACAACTGTGAATTATGAAGTCCAGAGAACATTCTGAATGAGTATTGGCCTATCTAGAATTTTGGTCTCTCTGTGTATGGTTTTCCTGATTCATTTCCATGGCCATGACTTGGGTATAAGTGCAGGAAAGAAGTCTCCCCCTCAGTGACTGAGTGAAATTTTCTACTCCTGGTTTGCAGGTGTCAATGTGTTTTCTGCTTCAATATGGAAACAACCAAATTATCTACTCATGATTGGTGGAGGATGGGAGGAGAATGTCAAATGTCTCTTTGGTACTGATATCTACTAAAGTACAGCAGTGTCTCACCCACACTGCAGTGTTCAATGCTTGAGTCATTTAAAAGGAATGTGGAGGTTGTGCTCTTAGATTGTGCTTTAGAATGAGGGACCCTCTAATTAGCTGGATCACCAAGGCCACAGCACGTACTTTCAGGTCAAGTAGTTTGGACTTTCTAACTCACGTTTATCAGGAATTTCACAAAAATTGCATTCTGTTTTTAGGACATGTGAATGTCTATGTTCAAAGGCAACTTGTCATTGATTCATAGCCCTTCATAGTGGGGAAAGGGTAGAGCCATTCAAAGTCCAATCCAAAATCTTAATCATGTGAAAATATTCACACTTGAAATATAACAATGGGTTTCTCAGGTCTGAGGGGATGAGAGATGATTCAAGTGTAAACTAGGATTGGACAATAGTAATAGGGAAATGTAATGCCTGAATTAACATAAACAGCCAGAAAAAGTAATTTCAAGACTAAAGCCGTGTTCTGTACTGCTCCAAAGAAAGCTGACTAGGCAAAAATATTCTATTTAATTATCAAAAAGCAGTTTAAACACCTATGTTTGACAGTTTTTCATTATGTAGATGAGTGAACAGAATAGTAAGCTGGTACTCCCAACAATTCCAGTGTCATTGTTTCAACAGAAAACTTTAAAACAAAGAGACAACTTATGTTTATTTCTGTGTTATATCCCCACACTAGTATGGATTGCTTACTCATCTTCTTGGTATGGATATAAACGTCTCTTCTCCTAGAATCTGTTTATTCTTCAACAATATCTCATGTGCCACTTCATTGACTTGAGATCTTAGAGAATCATGTTGGGAAAAGGTCTTCAACTCAATTAGGATGTAGAATTTCAACTACCCTTGGGGCTATAGGGTAGTTGGGAGAAAAGGTTAGAAGAGCTGTGGTAGTGGACAGAGTAGATGAGTTGTGTTGGTTGTAAAGGACTCTAAACATGGCCAGGTAGGGAATGAATACTGTTAACAGCTGAAGTGAATTATAGGTATTTGTATTGGATTGCATTGCACTTCAGCCTGTGGGGTACACAATTCAAATAGAGATTTGTTGCTAATAAACCAAACAAATTATAAGATTGGTAAAATAATCAGAAGAAATCTAGCAAGCCAGTCACTGCATGAAAAAGGAAAAAGAAACAGAGAACTCAACCTCGGCACAAAATTATGCCATAAATATTCCTGCTACTTATCATAGGTGTCGGTGAGCTATGATTATAAAATAAAGAAATAAAGAATTTTCTGTGGTTTTTGATAGCTGCAGCACAGCAGGATTAACCCTGTTGGAATCATAAAATAATGGCAAATTCAATGATCACTGGCTCAAAACACCCCCAAGTGGCATCCTGAGCAGGATGGTTTAATTTTCTTTCAGTTTAGTTTATTTTGTTTTGGGAACTGGCATTTTACATTTTTCTGAACAAAGAAAACAATATTTCAAACATCCTTCTGCCTATGGTAATGTCTTCAACTCCTGGTCAAAACACCTTAGCAACACATTTGTTAAGTAATTGGCCAGAATACGCTTAAATAACTTTTCTGTAGACACCCAAGATGACAAGAAAATAAAGTGCACCACTTCAACTGTCCTTGAATAAGGTAAGGATTCCCTATAGCTGTGAATACAAAACATTGTTTTTGGCTGAGTAATTCTAAGCAGCAAACCTTGACGCTGCAGACATATTCTCTTCTATTAGGAAAAGGGCTTTACAAATGAAAACTCAAATATTTGGAACACCTATGTCTCAGTCTGTTAGTGCTGCTATAATACTAATTATAGACAAATACAGTCGTAAGAAAATGATGGCAAGCTCCTGAGAATTGACTGCAAAACTACTCTTTTCTCTGAGCCTCTTTGTTGCCCCAAAATCATTATTATTATTATAAACACTTGGTGGTAATTCTTTGATAAGTATGAATGGTACCAAAAAGATAAAACAGAGTGAGAAAGCAAGAGCAATGGCAAGAGCCAGAGCAAAAGAGAGACAGCACAATGCCATGAACTGAGTACTGCTGCTTATAAACAGCAGAAATTTATTTTTCACAGTTCTGGAAGTTGGGCATTCCAAGATTAATACAGATTTAATGACTGGTGAGGAACCATTTTCTGGCCCACAGACAGTGTCTTCTCACTGTGCCTGCACATGGTAGAAGGGGCAGGGAACCCCTCTCAGGGTTCTATTATAAGGGCAGTAATCCCATACATGTGGGTGAAGTCCTCATTACTGTTAGAAATGCAAAATTCTTGTTCCCCGGTACCAGAAAGAAATAGCACTTGAACATAAATTTAATTCTCTCAGCAAGGCAATTTTTACTTTCTGCAGAAAGGGTACACTCGCCAGTAGTCTTGCCATGAGAGTACACCTAACAAAGGAAAAGCAGACATATTTATCCCTTACGCATTTGGGTTGTCCTTACTGCTGTGTTCTGCATCCATTGACTGGAGCCGAACCTCATGTCTAAACTGATACCCGATTTGCTAACAACCTAAAACTTTCTTAAATAGGTAAAGACAAGGGAGAACAAAGGAAAAGAGGAAGTTGCTTACGAATGATTTAAAGAAGCAATAACATTTCCAAATAAGGAAGGCGCATAGGCTGTGAACTGCAACGTACTTGTGAGCATGTCCAACAGCTACATAGGATAGGGCTTAACAAAGAGTTATTAGCACAAAGCAAGGAGGCTTGAAGAAAGTTAGTCTTTAAAAGAAACTATTATTTCTAACACTTATGATTTATTATTTAAGAAGAAGGAAAACTTTGAAGAGGAGACATTTTACTTTCTACATTACCTAATCACCTCCAAATGTCCCACCTTCTAATACCATCACCTTAGGGTCAGGATTTCAACATATACATTTTGAGGGAACACAAACATTCAGACCAAAGCACCTGACTAACATTATGCAAAATTTCAACAGCCCTATTGTCTCAATAAAATGTTTAATTATTATGAAATCTTAAAAACTATATGTATCCCTAATCTATTGTTTTCTATTAATTTTGATTACTCCCTCAAAATAGGGATTCATAGAATGTCTAAAATGGAGTCTGTATAGGAGCAGGGGATGATGTAATTCTGCATAACCCAATATTTACTTGTTAAACTTTTTGGAAAAAATATACTTTGCTTTCTGATAAATCTCCACTTGAAGAAGATAAACAATTGGTTAGGAGGTTTTTATTCCAATAAAGTAAAGCATAATTATCCAGGTACTCTGGCAGATCCATTAGTTAGTTATGAGGCCTATGCTAACAGCAGAGCTAAAGATAGTAGGAATTACCTACTTTTTGCCTCTTCACATGTCAGTGGGTCCTGTAGCTGCTTTGGTACTACTGGGATACATGAAAGTAATAGTCTAGCAGGATAACAAAGAACCAAAACTAAGTACACTGTATGAGCACTAAAGTAGGGAACTGCTGACTAAAAAAAGCATCATGTAGTTTAAGAACATCTTTTTTGCTGACATCTTCTTTACTAATATCATTCTTTATGATACCAATGATTATCATTCACTAACCCCCCTTCCTGGTTGACTGAATCCATACAAATGGGGCTAGGGTAGGACACAGAGTAACTCTCAGCCACTGCTGTGTTATGTGCTGCTGCTGAATTTATCCTGAAAACCAAGTCCTAAAAGAGCCAAAAGATAAACACTTCGAGACAGTTGGAGTTTTGTTTGATTTATTCTTTTGCTTGGCATTCACCAGGCTCTTTCTCTCTTGAAAGTCATATGTATATAATTCTGAAAAATGTTCTTATATTGCTTTTCTTAAACTTTTATTTTACATTCAGGGGTACATGTGCAGGTTTGTTATGTGGGGAAACTCATGTAACAGGGGGGTGGGTGTGCAGATTATTTTGTCACGCAGGTAATAAGCACAGCACCTGATAGGTGGTTTTTTGATCCTCACTGTCCTTCCAGACTCCACCCTCAAATAGGCCCTGATGTCCATTTTTTTTTCTTCTTTGTGTCCAGGTGTGCTCAGTGTTTAGCTGCCATTGATAAATGAGAAAATGCAGTGTTTCGTTTTCTGTTTCTGCATTAGTTCACTTAGGATAATGGCCACCAGCTCTATCTGCTTTGCTGCAAACGACATGATCTCATTCTTCTTTTGTGGATTCATAGTATTCCATGGTGTATATGTACCACATTTTCTTTATCCAGTCTACCTCTGATAGGCATTTAGGCTGATTCCATGTCTTGGCTATTGTAAATAGTGCTGTGATAAACATACATGTGCGTGTGTCTTTTTGATAGAACAATTTTTAATCCTTTGGTATATACCCAATAATGGGATTGCTGTGTCGAATGGTAGTTCTGTTTTAAGTTCTTTGAGAAATCACTGCACTCTTTTCACAATGACTGTACTAATTTACATTACCATCAGTGTAATGGAAGTGTTCCCTTTACTTCACAACCTTGCCAGAATCTGATATTTTTTGACTTTTTTTTTTTTGACGGGGTCTTGCTCTGTTGCCCAGGCTGGAATGCAGTTGCATAATCTTGGCTCACTGCAACCTCCGCCTATCGTGTTCAAGCAATTCTCTTGCCTCAGCCTCCCAAGTAGCTGGGATTACTGGTACCCGCCACCACACCTAGCTAATTTTTGTATCTTTTAGTCAGAGAAGAAAAACTGCTTGGTGTTCTATAACCTTCTTGTACTTGGATATTGATATCTTTCTCTAGGTTTGGGAAGTTCTCTGTTATTATCCTTCTGAATAAATTTTCTATTCCTATTTCTCTCTCTATCTCCTCTTTATGGCCAATAATTCTTAGATTTAACCTTTTGAGGCTATTTTCTAGATCTTGTAGCCATGCTTAATTGTTTTGTTTTTCATTTTTTGCTTCTTTCATGCTCTTGGAATTTTGATTGTGATATAAGGAGGATTCAGTTGACTGACTTCATTTCTGGAAGATTTTAGGGGGCCAAGGCTCAGCTCAGCACTCCTGTGTTGTAAGATCTAACTCTAACAATTTCATTCCAGGCCTGTGGCTTTGTTCTCTGGCCCCTTTAGGTTAGAAACCTACTGTGCTGGAGATGCTGAGGTGTTTCCATTCTGTTAGCCACAACAATCTGAAGGGAGGTGCCATCCAAATAACTTGGTTATGGTGGTTGCAGAGTAATCTGTGCTCACTTGTGCATGCCAGCAGCCATAACAGTTTGGTGAGGTACATGTGCATTGAATGGGTTGGAAATTTGCCAGGAGTGGGGTGGTGGCTTATATTATTTTTAAGTAATTATATTCCCTTCCTCTCTTGTCCTCTCTTCTCATCTCCCCTCCCCTCCCCTCTTTTCTCCTCTTTCCTCCCTTCCAATTCTATCTGATATGGTTTGGCTGTGTTCCCACCCAAATCTCATTTTGAATTGTAACTCCCACAATTCCCATGTGTCATTGGAGGAACCTGGTGGGAGGTGATTGAATTATGGGGGGGGGGGTCTTCCCTTCACCATTCTCATGATAGTGAATGAGTCTCATGAGATCTGATGGTTTTAAAAAGGGGAATTTCCCTGCACAAGCTCTCTTCTCTTGTCTGCCGCCATGTGAGACATGCCTTTGACCTTCCACCATGATTGTGAGACTTCCCCAGCCTAATACACTATCCATTTTTCTCTTTGGTCTTCTCTGCCCTCCCCACCTCATATTCTCATTAGTGTATATTTGATTTTTCTATAACTAATCTCATCTTGTTATTGTATTTTTCCTTTCCATCTTCTGAGATCTTTCAACTATATTTTCCAAAATTTAAAATTATATTTTTAATGTAAGATTTTATATAGACACATGTACTTACAAGTATTCTTTCTTATCATATGAGTGTTCCTGTTTTTATAACATTTTTTACAATGAATAGAATTATCTATCATTTAATGGTATTAATTATAAATTAAGTTTTTTTTTTCTTCCCCTTTCATTTTATCAGGTTTTTTAAAAGTTTTTCTTTTGGTTTGTCTTAATTTCTTTGTTTAAGGTTATCTCCACTTTTTCATGATGCTTGTTTTTGAGTTACACTTTAAAAACCATATTGGAAATACTACTTATTTGAATGTCATTGTTTCCATTCCTGACTTACCTATGATGAGGCCCATTCTTGGCCAACATTTGTTTGTTTGATTCCTCCATTGGCAGTATTTATATAAGTTATTTCCTTGAGACCCATCAATTGTCGCAAAATGGAATCCTCCTATATTTTGGCTAGGTAGTATAAAACAGCCTGTGTGGTTTGGGACAGCTGAGTGGGGTCTTTTGGAGATAGGCACTAGGAATGTCACCATTCTGGATAGATATTTACTTCATGTACTAGTTTTTATGTATGAGCTCATTGCCGTTTTTAAGTATACCCAAGTACTGATTTTCTCTGACTCAATCTCACCAGAAAATAAATGGTCTATCTTATATCAAAGTGAGGAAAGTAAAATCTTGCTTTCTAGGAATCAAGAGGACACAGGAAGTGAAGTCCCATTTCTTCTTAAGCAGATTTTAACTATTACAACTATCTTTAGCCTCATATGTGACCTGCTATCAGTGAAAATCATTAACTCTGAAACCTGAGATTTTGGTCTTACTCTCTTTTGGCTTCTACTGCATTGGTTTCACTTTCTACTTTTTTCCCCAGTCAGGTGAATCTGTTACTATTTCTCATCTTCTTTCCAACTTCCAAAATTGTGTGGAGATTTCTGTTTACTCTTGTTTCTTTTTTCATTCTCTTTATCTTTGTGGGTTTTGGCCTTTTAAATTTTCTTTCTTCTAATTTAGTCTCTGGAGAATACAAATAGATATGCATTTAATCACTAAGATTTTAAGTCAAATTGGAATTACATAATTTTAAGTCCTATCTCAAATATCTTTTATATGGTTTATAATAAAAAATCAGAAAAAATGAATCAATGTTGTGGGTAATCTTTAAAGTTTTTTTTTCATTGAAAAGGATTGCTTTGCTAATAATTTATTAATACTGTTTTTAAAAGTCAAATGCAATTATGACACTCTCCTCCTTAAAACAATTTATTAGCCTCCCATTGTTCTAAGGCTAAAAACTAGTATTCCTAATAAGTATCTTCAGGTTCCTGCATCATATGTCCTCTGCATCTTCTTCCACATTCATCACATAAAATATGTCGCCTTTTTCTATAACATAATCACAGGGCTCTCTTTCAATTCCTCAAATGCACGATGGTCTCTCCTATTTTAGAGCCTATCTCTGCACAATTTTATCTATGTACAAATAATTTCTTCTAAATTATTCCATAACCTTCTATACCTTTTTCCCTATACGTTCGTATACTCTCTGTAACTATTTCACCCACCATATATAGTGGCTTTCTATTTTTCAGAAATGAACTCAATTTTCACTTTATTTGAAAATCTTTCTCTGACTTTTCTGACCAAAGAAATCCTTCATACACACCTCCAAAACGTTTTAAAAATAGCTTACTTGGCCAGGCACGGTGGCTCACGCCTGTAATCCCAGCACTTTGGGAGGCCGAGACGGGCGGATCACGAGGTCAGGAGATCGAGACCATCTTGGCTAACACGGTGAAACCCCGTTTCTACTAAAAATACAAAAATTAGCCAGAAGTGGTGGCGGGCGCCTGTAGTCCCAGCTACTCGGGAGGCTGAGGCAGGAGAATGGCGTGAACCCGGGAGGCGGAGCTTGCAGTGAGCCGAGATCGCACCACTGCACTCCAACCTGGGGGACACAGAGAGACTCCATCTCAAAAAAAAAAAAAATTGCTTACTTGATATGTAGTTTAAATGCCATACAATCCATTCATTAAAAGTATGTAACTCAATAGTCTTTAGTATATTCACAGATATGTCCAATCATCACCACATCTAGTTTTAGAACATGCTACTTACTTGGTAAAAACAATAACAACAAAAAACAAAACAAAAAATCCCAGTACCCTATAGCTATCATCCTTATACTCTTCCAGCCACCCTACCTCCCCCAGCCTGAGGCAACCAAAAATCTACTTTCTGGCTCTATAGATTTCACTGTATTGCTATTTCACATGAATTGAATAATAATATGTGATCTTTTGTGACTGGTCTCTTTCACTTAGCATAACATTTTCCGTGATCATTTATGACGTAGCATGTGTCAGTACTTCATTATTTTTAATTGCCACATAATAGTCCATTTATGCGCACACCATATTTTAACAAGTCATCACTTGTTAGACGTATAGAATGTATACGCCTCTCAGAGATTGCAAATGATACTACAAACATTCATGTACAAGTTGTTGTGTGAACATGTTTTCATTTCTCTTTGATACATGCCTAGGAGTGAAATTGCTGGAATATATGGTAACTCAATGTTTAACTGGATATGAAGCTCTTCCTTGACAATTTTTTTCCCTTGAGCACTTGGAATTTGTTATCCCACTACTTTCCAGTCTTCACTGTTTTCTGATGAGAATTCAGCTGTTGATTTTATCACAGTTCTCTCATGGTACTTTTTTTCTCTTGCTGCTTTCAAGATTTTCTCCTGTTTTTGACATTAAGTATTCTTAATATGATATGTCTGTACTGGGGTCTTGTTGCATTTATTCTACTTGGAATTAGTTCAGCACTTTGTATGTGTACGTTGTTGTTAATAAACTTAGGTAGTTTTCAGCCATTATTTATTTAAATATTTTTTCTTCTTTCTCATCTCTTTTTCTGGTACTTCCATTATAAGCATATTGGTGCACTTAATGATGTCCCACATTTCTTGAGGCTGTGGGTATTTTTCTTCATTTTTTTCCTGTTTTTTGGCTTGTATAATCTCTATAAATCTCTCTTCAAATTTTTAAAGTTTTTTCTTCTGCCACTTCTAGTTATTTTTTCCTTCTGTTTTTGTGCTTTTCAAAATTAGAATTTCCATTTGATCATTTGATTTTTTTTTTTTTTTTGTAAGATGGAGTTTTGCTGTTGTTGCCCAGGCTGGAGTGCGATGGCACAATCTCGGCTCACTGCAACCTCTGCCTCTCAGGTTCAAGTGATTCTCCTGCCTCAGCCTCCAGAGTAGCTGGGATTACAGGCACCCGCCACCACGCCCAGTTAATTTTTGTATTTTTAGTAGAGACAGGGTTTCACCATGTTGGTCAGGCTGGTCTCAAACTCCTGACCTCAGGTGATCCACCCGCTTCGGCCTCCCAAAGTGCTGGGATTATAGGCGTGAGCCATCATATCTGGCCTGATTCTTTTTAATAATTCCTATCTTTCTATTAATATTCTCTATTTGGTGCAACATTACCATCCTTCCTTTTAAAGCTCATTTAATTATGCTTTCCTTTAGTTCTGTGAACATATTTGTAATGTCTACTTTGACTTCTTACTCCATTAAATCTGGCATCTGGACATTCTCACAGGTCGCTTCTGTTGTCCACTTTGTTTTTTCAGTGTTTGGGTCACATTTTCCTGTTTATTTTCATGCCTCCTATTTTTTTGCTGTAAATTCCACGTTTTGACAATACATTTTTACAACTCTGGGTACTGCCTTCAAATCTAGGGCTTCTTATTATTTACTTATTTATTTGTTTAGTGAATGGCTAGATTATTTTGGTGAAGTCTATTTCCCACCCATCTGCCCAATCACCCACGAAAGGATTTAATCTTCTGCTATTGCTCATCAGGGAGGCACAGCTTTGGATATGTCCACAGTCACCCTAGGATGACAGACGTACTGCTATGGCTTTCTTTCACTATTTCCCTGATCATACCCAGCTGTTACACTCCACTAATTTCAGGTCAGTTGCTCAATTCTTTTCAATAATACCCTGAGGCATAAACTTCTCTACAAACTAACTTAATCAGATTGTGGCTCCCTTGAAGTTATAGTTTCTAAGATCAATGTTTGACATTTAAAGCTCTTCTGCATGGTCTGAATTCCAAGTTCTCTCCTGCAAAACTAAACACCCTACAGTTGAAACTGTGTATTCACATGACCCCCCTAAACCTCTTCTCAATTGATTTTCATCACAATCAGTCTCTTATGTGTGTGTGTGTATATATATATATACACACATACATACATATATTTATGTGTTTGTGTGTATATATATATACATACATATATTTATGTGTTTGTGTATATATATACAGATAAATATATGTATGTATATATAATTATGTATATATACACACATACATATATATACACATATATACACACATACATATATCAGTATGTGTGTGTATATATATACACACATATATTTATGTGTATGTGTATATGTATATATAGTGTGTGTGTTTATGTATATATACATACACACATATAATTACAACTTTTATTTTAGATTCAGGGGGGTATATGTTGAGGTTTGTTACCTGGGTATGTACCGAGGTGTGATACTGAGGCGTGGAGTACTGTTATTGGGAGTGCTTTTAAGTTGAAACTTCTCTATGCTTTGTTGCAAATTAAATCAGTTATTTTGGAAGAGATTTCAAGCTATCTGTTTTACATTCTGCCTCTTTTGTAGGCAAAAATCTTTAATCCAGGGCTCCAGAGCTAGAGATGGGGACAATGGTAAGGTTCTTTTTGAGTAATGCCCCTGTCCTAGAAGCTGAGTATTTGTTTTGGGAAGGCAGCAGCCTATGAAGAAAGTAGGAAGGCTTGCCTTCCCTGTCATGGAACCGTTGCACCATGAGTCACAGGAAGGAGTACTGACGGCCCCAGTACTCTTACTGTGATACAGCCAAGGTAGAGTCCCTGTTCTACAAATTAGCGTTGAGAGGAATGAGGGACAGTGCTCCCTTCACCCAAAGACTTAGGTTCAGCAAAAGGCAGCTGGGCTGAATGAGAAATACTGAAATCCTCTTTTTCCTGAAAAGGAAACCTTCCAACTAGGACTGTGGGAAAATGGAGTTCTATGTTCTTGGCTGCAACAGTCTGGAATGGAGTTTCATCTCACTGAGGTGGGAGAGATGAGAGAAGGAGGGATCTTGTTTCAAATACCACAGTTTACTCTTTTTACTGAGTTTTATATAATTTTAAAATTAGATGTTTCTTCATTTGCTGTTTGTCCTAAGGACCATTTCAAGCAGCTTTAAAAGGTTGCCTTTTAATAATTTTCACTGGTGTCACTGGGGAATGTGTTAACAGAGCTTATCATGATAGAAGTCAACATCTCGCCATCATCTCTTTACAACCCTTTTTAGTTAACATTAAATTCTGAGTCAATGAAGAAAGTATGAACAAATTGTTTCATGTTCAGAGTTATTATCATTGTAAATCCTAAAGTCTAAATTAACAAAAGAAAAGGTAGAATTCAATATTAATTTTATAAGAATTTTTAATAATTATGCAAACTACTGTTTGATAAAGTAATTAGAGAAAATAACAAATTAAACTTTTAGAGGTCTGACAGCTATTAATCAAGATATACTCATGACTCACTAGTTACTGAAGTAAAAGGATGGTTTTGTCCCAGTGTGCGTTTTTTCATAATTTCAGATCTAGGTAGCATTTATCTTAATCAGAAATGTTCAGTTCATAGAGAGTCACTGCACATCATTTCTCATCTTATATTCAGAACTATTATACATGCTATTTTGTTTTAAAAGTTACATATTAGGCAACTAAACAATGAACATAAAAATCTGGGAGATGTATGTGCATCACATTTTTTTTCATAGTTAAAAAACTTTCCTTAGAAAACACTTTTAAGCACTTATATGCTAGTATATAGATCTAATTCAAGAAATTTAGTAAACAATAACAGAGTATATACAATGCTATTGAAGGTACCTAATATTAGAAAAAATCATAATCATTATTCAAACAGTTTCAAGAAGATTATGACTACAAAAATGCTTGCTGACTGTATTAGTTTCTTATTGCTGCTGCAACAAATTGGCAAAATTGTAATGCCTTAAAACAATGCAAATTTATCATCTCACAATTTAAAAAGGTAAGCAATCTAAAATGAATCTTACTGAGTTAAAGTGAAGATGTCAGCAGGACTGGATCCCTGCTGAATACTCTAAGGGAAAACTGGCTTTCTGGGCTTTAGAGGCTGCCCTCATTCCTTGTTCATGTCTCCTCTGCTTTATCTTTAAAGCTGGCAACATTTGGTCAGGATCTTATGCTACCATCTCTCGGATTCTCTCCCTTCTGTCTTTATCATTCACTTGTAAGGACCTATGATTACACTCAGCCAACCTTGATAATCCAATATAATCTCTTTATCTCAAGGTCGGCTTATTAACAACCTTAATTTTTAACTGCAAGCTTAATTCTCCTTTAGCAAGCTACCCAACACATTGACAAGTTCTGAAGATTAGGACATGAACATCTTTGCATGAGGCGTTATTCTCCCTACCACACTTACCACAATCTCTATTTATAAATCTTGTTATATAAAAATACATGAAGAGGACATTTCCACTGTTAAAATTTGGGGGATTAACA
Source organism: Homo sapiens (assembly GCF_000001405.40). Taxonomy (NCBI): domain Eukaryota; kingdom Metazoa; phylum Chordata; class Mammalia; order Primates; family Hominidae; genus Homo; species Homo sapiens. The sequence continues at coordinate 35,003,901 of NC_000023.11, read as the reverse complement.
CAACATTACGATATATAAATAGCCTCTCCCCAACATGCACCGTATGTGACGATAAAATATTTGAATGACTAACTGGTGACCATAGGCATATGTAACATTTTACTAGGAAATGAGTGCTTTCTATCCAAGGAATTATCATCATAGAATGATAAATATTTGCCAGTGTTCAAAATATTTCTTAAATATTTTTATTATTTAAAATATTATATATTTCTTAAATATTTTGAACTTGTGATTGTGTTTGTAATTTCTCTTTAGACTGTCCTGAATAATGAAATACTGTCAACATTTTGAGGGAGAAGGAGTTTTATATTTTGAAATATAAATATAATTTTTAAGTTATATCAGGTTAAAAAGTGACCGAGTTTACCAAATTACACTGTTTGTTGTTGTTTATATCATTGTTGGTTTTGTCCAAAACAGTGTGGCCACAAACTGATAAGATGGACTCTAAAGGCAATCCCCAAACATGATATACCCCCAAAATTAAATGAAAAGCCAGTAAATTATTATTGAAATAGTTCTATAAGTTCTTAACATGAATATATAAATTGACTGTTGTTGTTAGCATTTAAGTAATTGGTTATATAGTGTCATTATATTATTGAACCACGTGTTAAGCACTTAACTAAAGACCTCCTATTGCTAACATTTTCAAATTACTTCCATTGCCAATGAGTATATTCATTGGTACATATAGTGAATATATTCATTGGTAGTAGAAGTAGTTTTTAAAAATAGATATAAACTGACAGCATTATATATATTTTTATAGTGATGCTGACTTTAAAGCATCAGTAATTGAAAATGAAAGCAGCTAGAATTGTTCTGGGATAAAGACGTGTATGATGAGTGTGTTTAAATCAAACACAATACAAGAAAACATTTTTCCTGCTACTTTCTTTACCTGTGCTAGGTATAGCTATACTACATTTTAAGTATTCCCAGTGTGGGCTCCCCTGTTCATCTTTTTCTCTAACCTGAATCCACCCATGCCAGTGCTTGCTTTCCTTCCTGTCAAACACCTATAGTAATAGGAAAGTCATTGCTTTCAATAGTAGGCGACTCCACTTTTGAATATCTGTAAATTGTTAGAATGCTTTCCTGGAGGTCAAATCAGTCTTTTTATAGCTTTTCACCATTTAACTTTATTTGATAGTAAGGATCAACTCTCTTCCATCTGGAGGCCTCATTGGTTCTTCACTAAGAGTGCATATCAAACTCACCAAGGGAACAACAAGAAAGTGCATGAGGCAGGAGAAGAGAGGAGGAGAGGGACATAGAGAGAGAGAGAGAGAGAGAGAGGAGAGAGGAAGAAATACATGTCCATACCCTTCTTAAGACTATCTAGGGTTAGAATCTGGCGTGTGTATTCAGGCATTTCACTAACTCACTTATTTGTTCTTGCACGTATGTACTGAATGATTACCATGTGTCAGGGACAGTTTCAGATGTTGGGAATGCATCAGTGAACAAAATATGGAAAAATCACTGATTTCATATAGCATGGATCTAGGCATGGAAGAAAAATACACAGCAAGCATAATAAATTTATAAATTATTATATTTATGTTAATATGTGATAAATGCTATGGAAATGGATTGAAGATTGGTAAGGATACTCAAGGTGGTGTGTGTGTATGTGTGTGTGTATGTAGAGGTGTTGAAATTTTAATTAAGCTGTTAAATTAGAACTTTCTGAGAAGACATCACTGAACTTGAAGACTGAGAGGGATTTAACCATCCAGACTCCTAGGGCAAACATTCTAGGCAGAAAGCAGAAGTATCTAGTGTTAAGTCCCTAGGGCAGGAGCATGTTTGGTGTGTTCAGAAATCAAAATGGAGACCACTGTGGCTGGAGAAGAGCCATCAAGAGCTGAGCAGTGGGAGATAAGGTCAGAAAGGAAGAAGATCATGGATTACTGGGATGTGATAGATCATGTTAAGGAACTTGCCTTTTACTATTAATAAAAAGAGGTCTTGAGCTGCAGAGTGACATGATCTGACAGGTTTTAACAGGGTAACCCTGTCTTTTGGGTTTTGGGGAATAGATTGTACAGGTCCACTGTGGATGTAGGTTGATATGGTTTGGATCTCTGTCCCTACCCAAATTTCCTGTTAAATTGTAATCCTCAGTGTTGGAGGTGGAGCCTGATGGGAGGTTATTGGATCATGAGGGTGGAGTTCTCATGAATGGTTTAGGACCATTCCCCCTTGTTACTGTACAGTCATAGAGTTCTAATGAGATCTGGTTGTTTAAAAGCCTGTAGCACCTCCCCCTTCACTCTTCCTCCTACGCTGGCCATGTGAATTGCTTATTCCCCCTTTGCCTTCCACCATGTTTGTTAGTTTCCTGAGACCTCCTCAGAAGACAAGCAGATGCCGCATCATGCTTCCTGTACAGCCTGTGGAACTGAGCCAATTAAAACCTTTTTTAAAAAAATAAATTACCCAGTCTCTGGTATTTCTTTATACCAATGTGAGAATTGACTAATACACAGGGAGACCAGCTAGAAGGAGTTGCTGTTACTTACGAGAGAAGATGGGAGTTTGGAGCAAGGTTGAAGCTGTGAGGTTGGTTAGAATCATTTGTTTGTGTGTATTATTTGAAAGAGAGGGTGACTGATGTCTTCTGATACACACCTTTTTAAAGAATTGCTGCTGATACATATTTTATGAAGATACTCCCTTTTCTTCTCTCTCAGATTCACCAGCAAGCTTCCTCTAAGTGTTTAATTTTTTAAGACCTTATATGTCCATTTCCTTTCCACTCCATGTGTAGTCTGTTTTCTCAGATTTCTGTAAATTTTGCTTCCCACAATCTAGGATGATATTCCTCAGGAGGTCTTCTGTGGCACTCCTGCATCAGGAAGATTTAGGGTGCTAGTTAAGGATGCAAATTATGCCCCTCCCAACACACACTGAGGACCCAGGGCATATACAATTTTTAACTCACTCCCCAAGAGAAGCTAAGGAATATATATATATTCCTTATACATATATATATACACACATATATACGTATATACATATACATATATACATATACATATACATACATATATACATATACATACGTATATACATACATATACATATACATATATACATATATACATATATATACACATATATATATAACTATAATTGCTCTTGTCAGTAAGTCATGTCTGATTTTATCAGAAAACAACATCCACCACCTCCACCACCCCCCGTATGATGACTATACCTTGAAATTTTGCCACTGTCTGTCTGTGTGGTCTCTGCACTTCCATTGAAAAGCTAAGTATGTTTCTTCTGCTTAGAACATATGTCTCTGCCTTTTGTTAACACTGCTAGCCAGGTACTTTTAATATTATTGAATTTATCAATACATATTTATTGAATAGTTTTTTTTTGTTTTTCTCAGAACCAACATAAATCCTACCCTGTACTTGCCACTGTGGGGTTTAGAGTAAAGTGACGATTGATTTTTAAGGCAATGTACACAGTTCTGAGTTATTTCATCTTGGCTACAAGCACTTAGTAAATATTTTCATAAAGAATATATCAAAAACTATTTTGATCACAGAATGCATCCTAATTTTTTCCGAAGTTTATGCTACCCATAGTCCCTTTATATGCATTCATAATTCCAGAGATTTTATTTCTTAAAAATAAAGAGGCAATTCTAACTCATCTTAGGAAATAGCAAATACAAATTAGACTGAAATTTTATCAAGTTTTCCTTGGAACTGAGATATCTGGGGAGCAAGAAATGAGCTCAGCCATGTGCTGAATAGCTCAGAACATAAAGTAAAGTCTTTAAAGCATTCTGAGTATGTTTGTCTCTTCCTATTCAGGATGCAAAATTCATGTACTCTCTCTTCCCAGAAATTTCCTGCTATTTGCAGTTTGGTGGGTTCTAAGCAGTAAATAGTGGAGAGGGAACTAAGCATTTATGACAGTGAAAAGAGTTAACATAGCCCAGCAGTGTGATTAATGTGTGGGCACTGGGCCCTTTGTCAACAGTCTTAGAAAGTGCTCCAGTGGCCCCACAGCCCTGGTACTTCATGTTTCTAACAAGCAAGGACTGTCAGCCTCAGTGTCATATGACAACGCAAAGGTACTGAGGAATGTACTAGGCTTATTATTCAACATTTTGGAAAAGAAATAAAATGGCAGTAGAGAGTGTTTTGGTTGTTTACTCAAGAGGTATGTGTTATTCCAGTAAGAAAATTAAGCCCTTTGAGGGAAAAATCAAAATAAACTACATATTAAACTAAGTCTGCTTTCAATATAGTATTATAGTCAAGTTATGGTCATATAACAATCTTTAAATAATTAGTTTATTTTTAAAATGTATTAAATGAAATTGAAGTAGATTGGATCAAAACTTAGCTGGTACCAAAAAAAAAAATATATGTGCAGCCTCAACTTCTGTCCCAGCTATCCAACATCCAGTAGCTTTCATCCATGGCCTCCAGCTCACCTGTGATTTATCTGTCTTTCCTCAAATTAAACCTCCATCTTCCCCCAAAAATATAAATACAAAGCTGTCAATAGCTATTCCAGTAACAATAACAGTAGAATTTGATCTTTTCTAGTTGAAATGTGTACATGTTAGGATATGTGGGCTGTGGCATTTTAAACTAGAGCAGTTTAAAATACAGTCCATTAGAGCTGAATTACACAGCCTTTCCCTCAGTCATTTGATGACTGACTTCTATATGAGGAAATGGCTGATATCAAAAGAAGAGTGACAGGAACAGTTTTTACAATGTGTTTTAGGAAAAAAAAGTTATTGTTAAAATGAATCTGCAGGAAGACTTTTTCTAAAAAAGAGCAAATGGTATAAAATTGGATAAATAACTTACATATACAATGACGAAAGAATGTAAATGGAAAATTATAGCTTTGGCATTTAACTATATCTAAAAGAAACCACCATTCTTTTCAGAATGAGCTATTTAGTCCGACAGTTTCTAAGGCCGTAATTTTCTTCTTGTCATGTTTGCTACCTTAAATCTAAGATCCTCTGGAAAACAAACTAAAGGAAAAATTTAAAAGAAGTTCTTTCCCTATGTTCTATGCAAACATAACAGAATACAGCATGTGTCTCTTAATCATCTCTCAGTGATATTTGATTTGGATCTTTCATACCTTTATTAAAACTCGTGACATTTGTCATCACTGTGAAGTTCTGAGTTTGTGAGGATAGCACTTCAGAAATGGTTTGTTTGCTTTTTGACACTGTGGCTGTACCTCAAAGAGCTGAGTGGAAATTATGCCACAGGTTATAGATTAATGGATCAATAAGCTAAGATTTCCCTTGATGTATATGGCAAAAAGCTTCCATAGGAGCATAACTCAATTAATTGTTTTGTCCCTAAAATTAAACTAATGAATTAAACTACTGATAAAATGGTACCTTTTATCAATTCTTCCATTTTTCCAGTAATTTCAAGGTGAAAATTTTGATGTTCATATGGAGAAATAATATACCACTGCTTAAATCCATTCAGTAGTTTCTGACTTATATTTGATAAAGGCTCAAATATACAAGTACAAATAGATGGAATAGTTCGACCCGCCTCACCTCTTCAACCTCATCTTGCACCATGTTTTTCTTCACTATTTTTCCTCTGGCTCTCCTTTCCTTCTTTCAGATTTTCCTAAGGCAACTCACCCCCTCAGACTGCAGGGCAATTTATATGTTGTTTCTTCTACCTGGAATAGTTTATTCCTACTAATGGCACGTTTAGCACCATTTAGTCCTTTGGAATGCATTTCAATTGGGACTGCTTCATAGAAGACTTACCTGACAACTGCTCCAAAACTACATGAATATAATTTACATATCTAGGCATGATTGTTTGATAAGTATGCTTTTCTTCCATTAGATGGCAAACTCCACGAGAGTAAGGACAAAGTTTATTTGTGTTTACCATTTCATTAGCAGAGTTTAACACCTTAGTGTTGGTACCAAAAAAAGGTCATTGGAAAGTATGAGTTTGTATAAGAAAATGTTTTTCTAAAAAAACTAATACAAATTAAATAACTCCTAACTATATTTCAGCTGTAATTAACCACGTCTTAGTCTACCTTTGTTTTCTAATCCTGTATGTATCCATACTTTTTTTTTATCTGTTCTGGTGTAAATAAAAAAGTTGTCATTTTTTTGAGTAGGCTTTTTTCCCCCTGAGACTTAACAGCAAAAATATTTGACTGTCACCTTGAAATGTATCAAAAAACTCATTATGTTTCATGTATTTCTGATACTCAAAGCACTGAGTTTAACACACCCTGCTTTCTTTTCTCGAAACATCCTGGCTTTTCAGACTGAAGAGATAAAATTGTTACTTCTCATGGCCATGCACAGACAAGCAATTAGATAATATTCCCTAGATCTGCATAATGTCCTTTCCCAGTGAAAGGATTTTACTTGTGCATCTATTTTGGTTAATTTGAACTGGTTCTTCTTTCCATTCATCAACTCTTATATTTCTTGTTATATTTCCGTACAGCAGAATTTGGCCAGGGTTGCTTGTCATTTGTAAAGTGTCCGTATTCTTGACAGTGAACAAACTTTAAAACCCAGTTGAATAAAATACTATCAATTGTAAACAGATCAAGTGTAGCATCTTCACAGTGAGATAAAATTGGGTAAATAATATCCAGTAAGGGAAAATTCAGCTTCTGAAGAGATGGGATAAATTTACCTTTCCCTGTTCCTCCCACCAAGTACAACAAAATCCCCTGGACATTGTATATATTAAATAGCATGAACACAAGAAGACTCTGAAAGGTGAAAAGAAGAGGTAAACCAGCAGTGTCAGTGGAGAGCACATGAGGAGCTTGGATTTCCACTCTGACCTAGTGATTACAAGATATTCCTCTCCCTCCTCACGAGTTCATGCCAGAGGTGATATAATGGAGAGTTAGGTCTTTCACCGCTGTTTAGTGGTAACAAGGGTATCCGTCAATTAGTGTTAGTGGAGACCATCAGGGAGCAGTGAAGAGCCAGGCTTAGAGCCTTAGACTTTCCCAAACAAGGTCGTATTAGCAGTGATCTAGCTGGAATCCTAAATTCCTAACCCCACCCAACAGTAACAAGATACCCCTTACCCCTTGAGTGTCATTGGAGTTTATCAGGGAACTCATTATGCTTCCTGTACTTCTGATACTCAAATCACTGAGTTTAATACACTTGCTTTCTTTTCTCTAAATGTGCCAGCTTTTCAGACTGAAAAGACAACATCGTTAGTCCTCATGTGGAGAAGTAGAGATCCTGGACTTCGAGACCAACATGGCAGTAACATGACACTGGCCTCCTATTTTTGCTGGAGTGATGTTGGAAGATACATGCTAAAATACAAGATTAAATAATATCCAAAGTAATCTAACATAATATTAAAAAAATCAAGTTGTCAGTTAAAAATCAATCATCATACCAAGAGTCAGGAAGATCTCAAAGTGATTGAGAAAAGAAGATCAACAGGTGCCAACACTAAGATAACATAGATATTAGAATGATCTAACAAGTATATTAAAGCAGCCATCATAAAATTATAAAGTGACCTTCATAAATACATTTGAAACAAACAAAAAAATAGAAAGTCTCAGCAAAGAGACAGACGTTTTTTCTTTGTAGAAGAACCAACTGGAAATTTTAGAACTAAAAATACAACAACCAGCCTTTTAAACGAACAGTGTTGGAAAAATAGAATATCCACATACAAAATAAATGAATCTAGATATAGACCTTACCCCTTCACAAAGGTCAAAATACATCATAGACCTAAATGTAAAATACAAAAAATGTAAACCACCTAGAAGATAAGATAGGATGAAATCTAAATGACTTGGTTTGATGCTATTTAGATACAATACTAAGGTCATGATTCATAAAGGAAATGTAATAAGTTAGATGTAATTAAAATTTGAAAAAACTTCTCCTCTGTGAAAGTCAAGATTAAGAGAATGAAAAGACAAGCCACAGACTGGGAGAAAACATTTGCAAAAGACATATCTGATAAAGGCTTGTTATCTAAATATACAAAAAACTCATAAAACTCAATAATAAGAAAACCACAACCTCATTTATAATGCACTAAAGACCTTAACAAACACCTCATCAGAGAAGATATGTTTATGGCAAATAAGCATATGATAAGATGTTCTACATAATATATCATCAGAGAAATGCAAATTAAAGTACGATTGCAAAAACCCAAAATATGGACAACGCCAAATGCTGGTGAAAATGTGGAGGAAAATGACTCTCATTTATTATTTGGTAGAGTTCAAAATGGTGCCTCCACTTTGTAGGACAGTTGGTAGTTTCTTACAAAACTAAATATAATTTTAGCATATAATCCATCAATCATACTCTAGGTATTCACCCAAATCAGTTAAAAAGTTATGTCCAAACAATAACTTTTACTTGGATGTTTGATGCAGTTTTATTCATACTTGTCAAAACTTGAAAGTAACCAAGATGTTCTTCAGTAGGTGAATGGATAAATGAACTCTGGTACATTCATGCAATATAATATTATTCAGCACTAAAGATAAAAGAGCTATCAAACCATAAAAAGAAATAGAGAAATCTTAAATGCATATTACTATGAGAAGTCAATCTGAAAAAGCTACTGTATTAGTCCATTCTCACACTGTTATAAAGAAATACACAAGATTGGGTAAATCATAAAGGAAAGAGGTTTAATTGACTCATAGTTCCTCATGGTTGCAGAGGCCTCAGGAAACTTACAATCATGGCGGAAGGGGAAGCAGGCACGTATTACATGGTGGCAAAAGAGAGAGTGCATGCAAGCAGGGGAAATGCCAGATGCTTATAAAACCATCAGATCTCCTGAAAACTAACTCACTATCATAAGAACAGCATGGCAGAAACCAACCCCATGATCCAATCACCTTTCTCCCTTGGCATGTGGGGATTACATGTCTCTCCCTCAACATATGGGGGTTACAATTCCAGATTAAAGTTGGGTGAGGACACAGCCAAACTATGTCAGCTACAAACTGTATGACTCCAACTATATGACATTCCAGAAAAGGCAAAACTGTGGAGGCAGTAAAAAGATCAGCGGTTGAAGGAGGTTGGAGAAGGAAGGGATGAAGTAGTGAACTACAGAAGATTCTAGGATGGTGAAACTATTTCTTATATGAAAGAGTAGGCTTATGTCATTATGCATATGTCAAAATACACAAAATGTATAACACTAAGAATGTAACTTATTGTAACACCTATATGTAACTTATTGACTTTGGGTAAAAAAGATATGTCAGTGTAGGTTCAACAGTTGTAAAAAATGTACCACTCTGGTGTAAGCTGTTGATACTGGAGGAGGCTTGGCATGCATGGGGGTAGGGCATATGTGAGAAATCTCTATACTTTTCACTCAATTTTTCTGTAAACCTAAAACTTCTATAAGAATATAGTCTATTCTAAAAATATATGCTATTACCATTTTTTTTGGAAAAAAAAACTCGATGGATAGACACAACAGCAGAATGGAGAGAATAGGGGAATCAGTTAAGTTGAAGACAGAAAAATACAAATTACCCAATCTGAAAAACAGAGAAAGTAGACTGGTAAAAAATGAAAAAAGCCTCAAAAACATGGGACTATA